>NC_000012.12:31207418-31360113 GCF_000001405.40 Homo sapiens
GATTAATGTCGTATGTCTCCCTAAAACATGTAGATTCAAACTGTGGCCCAACCACCTTGAGCGCATGTTCTCAGGATCTCCTGGGGCTGTGTCTTCATGGGCCATGGTCATGCATATTTGGCTCAGAATAACTCTCTCCAAATATTTTACAGAGTTTGACTCTTTTCATAGACAGTAGCTTTCAGAAAACTACAATTACTCAACCTGACTTTAAAATATTAACATATTAAGAATTTGGTTTGTGTGTAAAACATTCATTCCTTTCCTTGTAAGGTAGTTACAGAGAAGGACAAAGGCCTTGGAGCCTCATGGTGAGTGTTTGGATCTTGGTTCTACCACTTCTCAGATGATCAACCTTGGATGAGTTATTTGAATTCCCTGTGCTTCCCTTCCTTTGTCTATAGATGGGAATAATCACAATACCATACCTTATAAGCTTGTTGTGGAAATTGAACAAGTAATATATTTAAAGTGATTAGAACAGTTACTGACACAGTAAACACTGGGTAAGCCTCTACAGAGACTAAATATTACACCCCTAACCACCAAACACACCCTACAAAATTCTAGTCATAAAGAGCATTAGTATGAACAATGGATTACTCATGTCAGCCAAGCGCTCTCCAAAATGATTTTCCTGAAATCAATATAGAAACAACTAAAAAGAAATGAGATGTCGTAAGTTCTATATAATGATGCTATAGAATAAAGGAGGAAAGGAATTGAAAAAGAAAAGTAAGAACATCTTTGTCAGGTGCAAGTAACAGAATACCTAAACAGACTTTTAAAAAATCAAACATTTATAATCTCATTTGGCACAAATCCTGAGAATGGAGGACTGGCATTGGTTCAGCAGCTCATGCATGCCATCAAACAGTTTCCTAAATTCTTTCCACCCTACTTCCTTGATGTGTCAGTATTATTTGCAATTTTGGCTCCTGACGTAGCAAAGATTATTCCTTCCCAGCAATATCTCAATCTGAATGAAAAGAGTGAGCAGGAAAAAATTTTCTTCTCCTACATCTCTCTTTTCTTTTCTTTTCTCTTCTCTCCTTCTTTCTCCTTCTCCTCCTCCTCCACCTTCTCTCTTTCCCTTTTCCTGCCCCCCACCTCTTTTACAAACTATTGCAGATGCTATATTAGGAAATTTTCCTGTATAGCTCCTTATCCACGCCTGGTTTATATCTCTCATTGCTAGGCCAAAGAGTGTACCCTCTAGATAATCCCCTTCATGGCAGAGGCACTTATGACCCTAGCTGCTAGGAATGTTGGTGGCTGTTGGCTGTCAGATGAATTCACCTCTGAGAACCTCCCTCAGCATCAGAGAAACATTTCACCCAGGTTCCTCTTCCTTTCTAGGGGCAGCTCAGTGCACAATAATGGGTACTATGTGTGTATAAATGCACAGCTCTGTTGCCTTAAATTAGGACAACTCTGAACAATCACCCCAACCCCACAGCTCCCCACGGGATATACTGATAACTTTATTGTGACTGCCTTGTAGTACAGCTCCTTTTTCTGTACAATCCTGCTTCCTTCATCCTCTACAGGTGTTGATCTTTAGAATTCTCTCCAATAAACCCTCTTCCCACAAATCTTCATCTCAGAGTCTCCGTTTTGTGGAACCTGATCTGTGGATTCCAATCACTGTAAGAGGGGACTGTGATAATATGATTGACTTAAAAAACAAAATCATGATTCATCTGAGAGCACTTGAGGCCTGAGCAAAATACACATTCTCTAAACTTACAAAGAAGAGGAAAATCTCATGTGTGAGCAACCACAAACAGAGAAAAGTGGATTGTTCAAGACACTTTGACTATTGCATTGTGTTGGAAGGATGGGAAGGAGAGAACAGAAAGTTGTGAGCAGGATAAAAATACTAAAATGTCATTCTTTGGTACAGTAAAAAGAAAATGAGAGCTCCCAAAGATCAGTGAACAGCAAGAACAATTATGATATTAACATGGGCAGAGTTTCCTAAAAGAAGAATCCAGAGATGGTCTAAGCAGTGCTTCTCAAACTTTAATTTGTACATACCCAATCTGAGGATGATCTTGTTAACATGTGGATTCTGGTTCAGCATATGTGGGTAGGACCTGACATTCTGCATTCATTTCCAACAGCCTCCCAGCAATGCAAGTACTGCTACTCTTCTGACCACACTTAGAGTAGCAAGGCTCTGGAGCCTTTGAACCCCAGTTCACCATTACCTATGGCTGGGGAAGCTTGGAATAACCCTGATGTCCAAGCTATGCCCTTAGATCAAGGGATTTAAATTGTGGTCTTGGGGCTAGTAGTGCCAGTATCACTTGGGATCCTCTTAAAAATACAAGTTCTTCCATGGTGTATATGTGTCACATTTTCTTAATCCAGTCTATCATTTTTGGACACCGTGGAATACTATGCAGCCATAAAAAATGATGAGTTCATGTCCTTTGTAGGGACACGGATGAAGATGGAAACCATCATTCTCAGCAAACTATCACAAGGACAAAAAAACAAACACCGCATGTTCTCACTCATAGGTGGGCATTGAACAATGAGAACACATGGACACGGGAAGGGGAACATCACACACCGGGGCCTGTTGTGGGGTTGGGGGAGGGGGGAGGGATAGCATTAGGAGATATACCTAATGTAAATGACGAGTTAATGGGTGCAGCACACCAACATGGCACACGTATACATATGTAACAAACCTGCATGTTGTGCACATGTACCCTAGAACTTAAAGTATAATATATATATACAAGTTCTTGTGCTTCAGCCAGACCTATTGAGTCAGAATTCCAGGAATGAGCCTCAGCAATCTCACCATCTGGGTGATTCTGACACACAGTAGAGTTTGAGAACCACTGCCTTGCTTCGGCAATCCTATTAAGTTGGTCGAAGTGAGACGTCACATTAAAAACAAACAAACAAAAAAACCTAGGCTCCTAGCATGTTCAAGGAAACTCCACCCAAGAAAAATGTGACCTTCTAGTACACTTGTGCTAGAGGTTTAAAAGAACAAATCCAGCTTATTTTGGCATATGCTGTCCCTTATGGGATGAAAGAAATGGGTAACTTTTTTTCTGCCTAAGTAAGTAAATGATCAATTTACAGTCCTCAATTTCCTTGACACACTTGCAGCACTGGACACTGTTGACTACTCCTTTTTCCCTGACAGTTTTTGACCTGGCTTCCAGGAGACCACACTGTTTTGGTCTTCCTCTGACTTCACTGGTTTCTCTCTTACCCAGTCTCCTTGGCTGATTTCTTCGCAATCTGCTTCCTCCCAACCTCCACATATTCAAGAGCTTCACAGAAAAGGCCCAAATTCTCTTCCCTATTCAGACTCACTGCCTGAGTAATCTCTTCCCATCCCACAGTCTATGTGCTCACAATTCCACAATGTATATATTTTTTTTAGCTCAGAGCTCTCTCTTTCTCTCAAACTCCTATACTGATTGTCCAGCCTCCAACCTGATGTCTCCACTTAAGTATATAAAATCAAAAGCTCAAAGATGAATTATTAATCTTCTACCCCAAACCTATGTCAGCCATGGCATAGCTCAGGTAATGGCAATTCTTTCCATAGAATTAGCTCAGGCCAACAGCATGGGAATAATCTCTGATCACTTTTTTTTTCTCATTCCTTGTATCCAGTCCATCAGGAAATCATACTGGTTTTACTTTCAAAATATACCTAGAGTCTATTGCTTCTTACCAGCTTCTCCCCTGCTACAACCCTGGTCCAAGCCACAATCACCTTTTGCCTGGATTATTTTCACAACCTCCACGAGGTCTCCTCACTTCTACTCCTGCACTCCTACAGCCTATACTCAACACAGCAGCTAGCTGATTATTTTAAAACATAATCAGATCAGGTCACTGCTCTATCCAAAACCCTGCAAATCATTCCCAGTTTTGCTCAGAGTGAAATCTAAAGCCCTAACAATGACCCTTGATCCCCTTCCTGGTTTGGTGCCCCAACATGTTTCTTATCTCTCTACCTACTACTGTATGCACCTCTTTGCTCCGTCTGCTCTAGTGCCATGCTAACTTAATTGTTGTTTCTTGAACACACAAGACACACTTTAACTTTATGGGCCTTGTTTTTTTCTAGCTGATCTCACTGCCAGGCCTAGATTTTCCTTAGATGTCTATGTGGCCAACTCCATAACCTCCGTCAAGACTTTGCCCAAATGTCGTTGCCTCAATGATATCAATCCTAAGCCTTGTGTTTAGCTTTCCAGTCTTCTCACCTCCCAGAGTGTTCTATATCCTCCTGCCCTTCTCTTCATTTTATATTTTCCATAGCACTTATAGCCTCTTAATTTCCTAGACTTTGCTTACCCATTATGTTCATTATTATGTTTGCGCATTTCGTTTGATTGTATTATACGTATTGTTTGTCTCCCCCATTAGAATGCAAGCACCACAAGGGCAGCTGTTTTTACTATTTTCATGCATTGATATTTCCCAAACACCAGGAAGAGTATTTGGCAACTATCAGCATTCAAGACTGGAGGTCTGAACTAAAGCAGCATGGCAGTGCTGGATAAAATCATGTAGGTCTATGAGTCATTCAGGAGGTAGATCAACAATTGTCAATTATCAACACTGAGAGAAAATGAGATGAGAGAGAGAAGGAGGTAAATTTGACCCTTAGGTGATGGGTGATGATATTGTCACACACCGAAGCGGGGATCTAAGTTGGAGAAACTGGTTTGGAGTAGATTATGGATCCTATTGAAGTGCCTGTGGGACATTCAGTTAAAGAAGCACCTTAGGCAGTGGGATATGTGGAACTGAAGTGTGAATATAGAGGCATATATTTGGGATACACAAAAATACAGACAGTAACTGAAATGCAGGATATTTAATGTGTATAGTGAGAAGAGAAGAGGGTTTGCAATAGAATCATAAAAAAATTATTTAATAGTAAGAGAAAGTGAGGTCAAAATGAAGATCATTAAATATCCAGAAAGTGAGAAGGAAAATGTGATTATTATGGGAATATAATCCATCTCTCTAGGATATGGATATAATCCATCTTTAGGATATGGATTATATGTGATGGTGGAAGGAAAAGAAAACAATAAACAGAAAGAGGCTGAGGATAAAGAAGAGAAAGACAATAAAATTGATGGAATGAGAAGGTGGCGAAACAGGATGAGATTTCTAGAACATAGCAAAGGAGATGTTAGTGTTAAGGGTTTCAGCTACTCATTAAATATATATATCTACATTTATATATACACACATACATATATACACATATATGTGTATATATATGGGCATATGCATGTATACGTATGCACATACACACATACATATGTGTATACACATGTGCACCTATCTGTACACATACATATATTCACATGTACATGTGTATACATGTGTATGTGTATGTATACTTACATATACTATATGTGTGTATGTGCATGTATACATACATATACACATATATACACCCATGTGTATATGTATATACATACACATATTGTAGGTATATATGTGTATACATGTATGTATGTATATACATATATATACACACAAAGTTTATTTCAAATTGCAAAAAAGTATGTGATTACTGTATAAGAAAATGATAGAGACAGTTAATTATTATTCCCATTGTTCAAAGTACTTTTGCATGGAGCAGGAATGGTGGACATAAAAGTGCCATGTGATGCTTCAATAGCACAAACCTTCTCCAAATCAGAGCTATACAGCCTCCATGAAATATTCCGTGGTAGTCTAGTTTACTGAAGACCTCTTCTTAAACACACACACTCACACATACACAATCACATGAATATAATCACATCAAAGCTTGGCACTTTCCATTCAACACTCCTGAATTAAAATGTTCATTATTTACTATAAAAATCTGGACACGGAAAATGACTTCAGTACTCTGTTCAAAAAGAAACTGGGGAAAGGTTTTATTGAAAAAGGCAAGGGCCGGGCACGGTGACTCACGCCTGTAATCCCAGCACTTTGGGAGGCCGAGGCGGGCGGATCACAAGGTCAGGAGATCGAGACCATCCTGGCTAATGTGGTGAAACCCCGTATCTACTAAAAAAATATAAAAAATTAGCTGGGCATGGTGGCGGGCACCTGTAGTCCCAGCTACTCGGGAGGCTGAGGGCAGGAGAATGGCATGAACCCGGGAGGCAGAGCTTGCAGTGAGCCGAGATCGCGCCACTGCACTCCAGCCTGGGCGACAGAGCGAGACTCTGTCTCAAAAAAAAAAAAGAAAAGGGCGAGTAAGAGAGCTGTATTGTTCATCTACCCACATCTATTCTTTAGATGGTATTTTTCTCTCAGTTCCTTAATACCTTACATACTCATTGTGACACTGAGAATTTTCCACCATAAACCTTAAATCCAAGACTTTTTCTTTGCCTTTAGTTATACCAAATAGCTGACTTCATTATGCCTTCCTTGCTTGCTTATAATTTGAGGAGCAATTTTATTATGTAATCAGGTTAACTACTAAATACATAAGTAAAATGGGGACTGAAAATTTATTATTTACTTAGAAAAAAAAGGTTTCCCATAAAGGGGTGTTATGTACCACAAAGTACACTCCCTTCATTTTCCTTGAACCTTTATCACAAATTGTACTAGAAGAGTCACTCACATTTTCCTGAAGTGGAGTCTCTGAAAATCCACAGGGCCTAGGGTACTTTAAGAATATATAAGTCAGTCTGAGTATGGTGGTTTATGCCTGTAATCCCAGCACTTTGGGAAGCCAAGGCAGGGGGGTTGTTTGAGTCTAGTAGATAGGGCCAGCTGGGCAACACAGTGAGACCCCGTCTCTACAAAAAATACAAAAATCAGCTGAGTGTGGTGGTGAACACCTGTAGTCCCAGCTACTCAGGAGGCTGGGGTGGGAGGATTGCTTGAGCCTGGGAGGCAGAGGTTGCAGTGAGCCGTGAGTGTGCCACTGCATTCCAGCCTGGGCAAAAGTGCAAGACTCTCTCTTTCTTTCTTTCTTTCTTTCTTTCTTTCTTTCTTTCTTTCTTTCTTTCTTTCTTTCTTTCTTTCTTTCTTTCTTCCTCTCTCTCTCTCTCTCTCTCTCTCTCTCTCTCTCTCTATATATATATATATATATATATATATAGAGAGAGAGAGAGAGAGAGAGAGAGACTGTCAGTATATCTAGCTGGACTGTCAGTATATCTATATATTTGTCAATAAAATTTATTCTCTTATCCTATAACAACACAGCTTCCATCCCAGTTCCTGGGGATTGGGGGATAAGCCCAAATGACAGGAACAGCGTGTATTATCAGGGTTCTCCAGAAGGACAGAACTAATAGGATTGATGTATATATAAAGGGGAGATTATTAAAGAGTATTGACTCACACAATCACAATGTGAAATGCCACAATAGGCTGTCTGCAAGCTGAGGAGCAAGGAAGCCAAGTCTGAGTCCTAAAACCTCAAAAGTAGGGAAGCCAGCAGTGCGGCCTTCAGTCTGCAGCCGAAAGCCCAAGAGCCCCTGGAAAACCACTGGTTTAAGTCCAAGAGTCCAAAAGCTGAAAAACTTGGAGTCTGATGTTTGAGGGCAGGAAGCATCCAGCACAAAAGATGAAGGCTGGAAGACTCAGCAAGCCAGCTCCTTCCACCGTCTTCTGCCTGCTTTTTCTAGCTGGCTGGTAGCTGGTTGGATGGTGCCCACCCACATTGTGGGTAGGTCTTCCTGAGGGTGGGTCTTCCTCTCCCTGTCCACTGACTCAAATATTAATCTCTTCTGGCAACACCCAGAAATGCTCAGATACACCCAGAAACAATAATTAGCATCCTTCAATCCAATCAAGTTGACACTTAATATTAACCATCGCAGGGCAGAATTTCAGCCAGTGTGGAGCCCATAGAGTGTGCTGCAGGAGTGTCTGTAATGGAGCATGGCCAGGGTCCCCCACACTCCTAGGCTTTACTTGCTCCCATAGGAGACTTTAGCCTTAGGGAAAGTATTAGACCCGAACCCTGCGGGGCAGTCTTGAAAATGAGATGAGGTCAGTCCAACCTGAGCATCCCTTTGTCTGCTGGCCTCTTCTGGGGCCCAGACTGGTTGCACTTGCTTGCAGTGCAGCCCCCAAGTACCTCCTGGGAGCCTTCATTATAGCTCCTGAGCTGGTGGACTTCACCTGACCAATACAGTGCTCCAACAGAGCAGCCCTCATGGACATGTACTAGCCTGCCCGTTCCCTCCCAAGTGCAGCCTCTCCCATACCATTTTGCTGATATACACTCACCCATGATCACCCCTGACTTTGCCTTGTTTGCATTCCTCCCCCACCAATGTGCATGTGCACACGCACCCTAGCATGCCACTACTGCTGGCATGAGTGCACATCACGCCCCTCCTCCCTGCCACACTGCCACTGTCATTGAAGTGTTTGCAGGCAGAGGGCCCACCAGCCCAGCTCCTGCTAGTGCCTTGCTCCTGTGCCCGTGCCAACACTGTTGCTGACGTAACACTAGCCATGGAGAACAGCAGACTCACCCCTGCCCTGAGTGGCCACTGCCATCCACATGAATGTGCAGAGGGCACACATGGTCCTGCACCCACCAGTCCCCTATCCCCATGCTAACATCACAATCGGCATGAAAGCATACAGTCACCAGCAGGGGCCCCCTGTCCCATAGAATTGTGCTGCCACTACTGCTGCTGGGAACACCTGCACAGAGGCTGGCACCTCAGCACCTGCTAGTACCTTGCTGAAGCTGACAAGCATGCACCCCACCTCACTGCTGCTGCTGCTTCTGGTGGCATGTGTGAGCTGCTGCTGCTGGTGGCATGTGTGAATGAGGAGGAATCCTGCTGCCACTGCACTGCAGAATGCTTTGGCTGGCACCACCCATCAGAATGCTGTGACCAGCAGTCTGGGAGCACCTTGGTCCCTCCAGCACATCAGGTTCCTAACCTTGAGGAGCCAGGGAACAAAGTCAGGACCTGAGACCTGTCCCTTTGCACTAGTGCATGCAGTTCAGGAGTCCTGAGCTGAGCCTTGGCCTTCTAATATCTTCCAGAAAAGAAGCCAGTAAATCAAACCCACCTTATACCACAATCAAACCCCCAAAGTCATCAAATAGAATAAAAGGAACAAAATCCCATTCAAAGGACAACAACTTCAAAGACTGAAGGAATATCAGCCTATAAAAATGAGAAAGAACCAGCATGAGAACTATGACAACTCAAAAAGCCAGAATGTCTTCTTTCCTCCAAATGACTGCATTAGCTTTCCAGCAAGAGTTCTTAATCAGGCTGATATGGCTGAAATGACAGAAATAGAATTCAGAAATATGGATAGGAATGAAGATCACTGAGATTCAGGAGAACGTTGAAACTGAACCTAAGGAAGCTAAGAATCACAATAAAAGGATACAGGAACTGACAGACAATATAGCCAGTATAGAAAAAAATGTAACCAACCGAATAGACCTGAAAATGCTTTAAAAGAATCTCATAATGTAATTGCAAGTATTAACAACAGAATAGACCAAGCTGAGGAAAGAACTCAGAGCTTGGAGACTGGCTTTCTGAATAAGACAGTCAAGAAGAATAAGGAAAAGAGAATGAAAAGAAATGAACAAAACCCCTGAGAAATATGGGATTATGTAAAGAGACCAAATCTATGACTTGTTTGCATTAATGAAAAGGATTAGGAGAATGGAAGCAACTTAGAAAACATATTTCAGGATATCATTCATGAGAACTTCCACAAGCTAGCTAGAGAGGCCAACTTTCAAAATCAGGAAATGCACAGACCCCTGAAAAATACTTCACAAGAAGATCATCCCTAAGACACATGGTCGTCGACTCTCCAAGGTCAAAATAATCTGTACAATGCGTCCTTCACTTTCTTCCTTTCCTCCCCACCCCTCACTGTTCAACAGATAACCTGAGTGCATTCAGTTTGTAAAGCACAGTGCTGGGGCCGTGAAAGCCAGAGACGAATCAGACAACACACAACCACTCTCAAAGAGATTCAGGGATCCCAGGAGGGAAGAAAGGAACATCAGTAAGCACAACGCCCCGCAAGCCTGGGTTTCACATCTGTTTAGCAGCAGCATGACCTTAAGGAGGTCACTAACAGGTCAACGCCTCAGCTTCTTCCACTGAAAAACAGGAATGGTCACTTCTGCGTCACTGAATTACCTCTCACTGAATTACCTCGAAGGTGAAAAGGAGCTGGTGATGTCTGGTGCTCCTGTCCTGGCTGACACAGCTAGGTCCTCAGCATTGGCTATTATTGCCTGCAAGACGGGGAGTAGTGAGGGGCTTCAGGCACTCAGGAAACCCAGAACTCCCACAAGTGGGCAGGGCAAAGTAGGCAAAATTTCAGGGAGGAGGCGGTCTAGAGCAGATCACGGAGAGGGAAGCTCCAGGCTTAGGAGACAGACACTCTGCAAGAGAACACCGCGGAGGACGAAACAGCAGAGCAACAGCAAGCAGCGCCTCTGGCTGGAGCTGTGCCTTTCAAGGAGCCGCAGTAGGAACCACGCTCCTCTTGGGGTGGCAGAGGGATGGGCAGGACCATGCTTGGGCTCCCTGTTCCACCGCCTCCAAAGACGACATCCCCATTCCCCATGAGAATGTTTCCTATGAAGCCAGGCTGGCCCTTGACCTCTGCAGGGCTGCCACTGGCCCTGGCCCATCATCATGCCAGTCCCTAGAGGCTGATGGTGAGAAGGGAGCAGAAAGCGCCCACTCCTGACCCAGATTCGCTGCTTCTCCTCCCCTGCCTCTGTCATGACCCCAGGGAAGCAAACCCTGAACCGGGGCTCTCGCCTTCACCTTTACCTTCTCCATTCTGGGATAAAAGACCACACATTGGATGTAGTGTACACTGCTCCCCAAAACCATTGAAATAAAAAATAAAGAATGATCTGCTCATTATGCAGGCCACTTGGGGGCCACCAGATGCCAATGAGTAGAAGGAGAGAGAAGGACAGATGGAGGAAGTAAGGACAAGGGGAAAGGGGAAGGGAGAAAGGGAGAAGAAAGGAAGGGGAGTGGGGAAAGAAGGAGAAAGAGAGGGAGGAAAGGACCAAGAGCCTTGCAGAGAAAATTCCCCCTTTTTCTAAGGAAAGGTGCTGGGCAGTGGTGCAGCTTCTTGGGTGAAGATGTTGGGCAGGGGCTGACGGGAAAAGGCAGATAACAGCATCCAAACTTCCACACACGAAGTCTGTCCCCTCCTCTTCCCCGTGCCGTCTCAACAACCCCCATCCCCCGCCCTGCCTTGTCATCTATATCTTGGGAAGCAGGTGACATATCTGGCCCAATATTTTGGGGCCTAGCTTCTCCCAGGTGTGGAGGGGGCAGATGCAGGGACAGGAAGAAGTGGCTGGGAGGGGCTGGAGGGTGGGGCTGAAGAGAGCCTGGGAGGTGCTTGTCATTCCCTCCAGTCTCTGCAAGCTCCCCCACTGCGACAGAGCAGGAGGAGAGAGCATAGCCAGGAATGCTAATTTGCCAGGAGCTCACCTGCCTGCGTCACAAGGCACAGGTGCCAATGAGGCCAGGGTCCAGTCTGGGGCATGAGATGGGGTGGTGGGGAGGAGAGAGACAGTCTCTCCTCTACCCACCTGTCTCTTCTGTGCAGGTGGTTTCCGAGCAGGTGAAGCACATTTAAAGGGGGAGGTTCTAAACTGGTCACAGTCCCATTGAAAAAGCCCATGGGAAATGAAAAGCCCACACACTCGCCCATTCCATTGCCACAGGCAGGGGGCAGGTGGAGGAGGAGCGGTGGGTGCTCCCCACACCACTCCCAATTATCACCGACTCCTCCCTTTCCTTCATTCTCCTTCCCAATCTGTCAGTGTATCCTGTGGTTGGTCCCTTTGAATGTCTCACCCAGCCCTCCTTGCTTGCAAGTCCCCTGATTGCAGCCTCATCCCCGCCATGTCCTGACTACAGCAACAGCCTCTGGGTGTCTCTGCCATCTGCTCTCTCTCTCCCTTCTTGTCCCCTTTGTGACAGGTGCTTGATGAACCTTCCCCAAACTCTTCTGACCCATCCCTGCCCTGCTCAGGACCCAATCACAGTTCCCTCACCCTCCTGAATCAAACCTGAAGTCCTGTCCTGAGTACCCCATGGGCCTTAACTTACTCATCCCAACTTCACTCATTGCCTTGCCCCACACCCTGCCAGGGAGCCTCCCATGGCACCGTGGAGGACGCAGAGGAACCAAGGCAAAGCTCCTGTGGCACCATCCAGAGAGACCAGGCCCACAGGCATGTGGAAAGTCAGCCTCCAACCCCCTGCTCTGCAGGGAAGGAGCTGAGTGCAAGGGAGAGGCAGCGCTGTCTGTGCTTCCCGTGCAGAAGTCCCAGCCCCAGCCCCTGTGCAGGCCGGCCTCCCCGGCAGCCTGTCATACTCCGAGTTCCCAGCCACTTTCAGGCTTCTCTCCAAGCCTGTGGCCTCCATTTCTAGACCCCACCCCGGGACCTGCACACCAGCCTCGCTACCTTAGCCCCCTCCTCCAGGAGCCTGCCCTGTGTGGAGTAGGCACATGGTTTTCCTCTCCAGCACCCATTGCCTCCTTACTCAAGCAATGGCCCTGTTTCCTCTGGGGAATCCATCTCAATTCATGAGCATCAGATCAGACTGCCCCCAGAGCTCCTCAGTCTAAGCCAATCAGTGTGTCATAGTCCCCAGCCTCAGTGATGGATTCTGGGACAGACACGAGGACCAAGCCAGGTGGGATGAGTGAGTGTGGCTTCTGGAGGAAGTGGGGACAAAGGAGAGCATTCTTTCCTGCCAGACCTAACCCTGGGTCATGAGTCCAGCCCCACTGGTTGTCACCTCGCCACCACGAGAGCAAGGCCTGTCTGGGAATGTAGCCAGCCCAAAAGAAGCAAGCTGACATGGAAGGAAAGCAAACCAGGCCTGGATGACGTCGTGTAAGCCCTGGAACTCCGAAGCCTGCTCTACTGATTAGTTACTTTTTGCTCAACCTGGTCTGGAGAGTTCCGACTGACAGGGTGCCACCAATTTTTAGTGATTTCTCTCCCCTCTAGACCCCTGGAAGCCTGTGCGATTCATGCTATGCAATGAAGAATCAGCCTCGCCCTGTGCTCTCCCATTCCGGCCTCTAAGCTCCTAAGGACACCGTGTTGGCCACATCTTTGGTGTCTCTCAGGGTCCAGCACAATGGGGAGCACACGGTGGGAGATGGATGTGGTGACCTGGAACTCAGGTGTGAGGGAGCTGGGACACAGGCCCAGGATTCCTGAGAGACATCCTCCCCTCCCTGGGCCATGCGAGCCACTTGGAGAACCTGCACCCACTCTCAACGAACTCAGCACTCCCTTCCCCAGGATATGCCTTCCTGCCTTCTCCTCATCCCATCCCTGGGCAGGGGACATGCAACTGTCTACAGGTGCCTAGTACCAGGATGGGAAAGGAAAGCCACCAAAATCTAAGGCTGCCCTCAGAGAAGGGCAAGCATGCAGTCCTCATCTTGATGAGGAAACAGTTTCTGAGGGAATAGTTTTCCCCTCCATTCCAAGCGTTGGACATGAGGCGGCCATAATCAGGGGCTGATGGCTCTTAAAGACTTCCGTCCTCTTGCCGAGGCATCCCTTGGGCACATTTAGCATAACAATAAGCACAAAGGAGCGTCCAACACTTTCTGTAACTGTTGGTAGCAAGTTGATGAATGGCCACCATTCAATGGGCAGTCAACGAGTAGAGATTATCAACAGGCAAGAGCTAGCATTTCCTGAAGGCTTCCTAGGTGCCAGGCACTGTTCCATTCCTTTGCATGTTTTAATTTATGTAATCTTTGCAACAGTTCTATCAGGAAGATGCCATGATTACCACAGTTTCACAGATGAGGACATTGAGGCTTAGAGGGATTGAGTAAGTTGCCAAGGGAACAGAGCAAGCAAACAGGGAAGCCAGATTTGAGCCAAGGCATCAGCTCCAAGGCAACCTCTCAGCCAGTTCAGTGCAAAGCCTCTTGTTTACAGGGACTTTCTAGACAGGCTTGAAGCAGGCCAGTGAGTCAGTGGGCAGGGGAGAGGCAGAATAGTTAAGAGGATCTGGAGGCAATGACTATGCTTCATCCCCCATTTTTTAGTTTGGGAGGGCTTCCAGGAAGAGGTGGGCTTCCAGTTCATGACAGAAGAGGAGGCTGCACAGTGAAGGAGCAGGGACTCCAGGTCTGGTGACAATCAGGTGTGGGCCAGGGTGAGGGTGGCTTGCATCAGGAGAGGGATCTGAGTCAGGCAGTCACATACTTCGTGCTGGGGTCCCTCAAGAGGCACAGCCTGAGGTCCCGGGAAGAAGACCAAGCCTCATTTCAGGTTGCTTGCGGCCAAAGACAGGACCTGTGTACCCAACAACCCCTGGGACCTTTGCAGGAAACAGCAAACACTATTCACTCACTCGAGTTAGATAAACACTGAGTGAAAAGTCACTGGAGCCAAAGGACTGTGCGGGGTCAGCGCTGCCGATACAAGAACTGCAGCCCTCCAGCTCGGCTTCCTCAACGGCCTCTCTGCGCTGCAGCCACACTGGCCTCCTTTCAGGTCCTCCACCTCAGGGCTGTAGGTCATGTGCTTCCTTCTTTCTGGAATGTTCTCCCTGACCTACCCACTCACCCTCAGGTTTTACCACAAATGCTATTTCCTCACATCCACCTTCCCTGACCCAGCCAGGCCCCCCATGATGAGCCTCGCAGAACCTCATCTCCCCTCCACAGAGGTGATCATAACCCACAGAACCCAGGGCCACGATCCCTGGCTTTGAACCCTGGCTCTGCCACTCAGCTAAGTCTCTGTCTTTCTGTGCCTCGGTTTCCTCATCTATAAAATGGAGATAACAGCAGTGCCTGCTCATAAAATGTGGTGAGGGTTAAATGAGTTAAGGCACTCAGATCAATGGTGGAGCATGGTTAATGCTATATGCATATTAGTGAATATTATAAATAGGCTTTATCACAACTGTAACTAAACAACTGCTCATGCATTGGTTATTTAGGTCTGTCTCTCCTGCCAGAATATGCACTCCAGTTGGACAGGGACGCTGCCTTATTCATCACTGGATCTATAGAGATTTGCTCAGTGCCTCGCTCACAGTCACTGTTGGGTAAATATTTTCTGGCTGCAGGAAAGAGTGAAGGACTAGCCCCCTCGCCGTGGGAGGAAGAGCGTGAGTTGGGAGAGCAGAGCCACCACAGGAAACCAGGGGGCAAAGTGGGGTGGAAGGCAGTGAGCTCTCAGGCTCTCAGGAGCAAAAGCTTCCAAGCTGGGCTCTCACCTTGGCCCCTCCCACCCAGGGAAGACAGCTGGGTCTTCCAGGACCAGGAATCCCCAAAGGGGCTGCTCCCAGAGGGTGTATTGCTGGGACTGGAGAGAGGACTGCCCAGAACCACCCCCTCTGATCAGGTGGGGGTGGGTGGCAGCTCCCACCTACTGAAGATGTCTCTGGAGACCTTCTGCAGGCACTGCCAGGCATCTGCCACCTGCCGGACGGTCTCCTCTCACTGCAGGTCTGGTGGGATGACGGGCAAGGCATAGGTCTGACCTGCCAGGGAATGCTGGGTCCTCGCAGGAGTCGTGGTGCCTGTGGGTAGCATCAGAGCCACCCACGCCCACCGGCACCCACTCACCACAGGTAGCATGGTGTTGAGACAGCACAGCCCTCATCCCAACTGTGTGCACAGCTTCGGGGAGGTGGGGAGGGGGATGGGAGACAAAGCATTTGGTGGGAGGCCAGGAGCTCATAGGAGATGGGATTCTGCTGATGCCTGCTGAGTGAATGAGGGAGGGAGGGGGCAGGACAAGGGACTGGGGATTTGGTAGGGACAATGGAGGAGCTCGGAGAAGAGGCAACATTTCTTCAATCCTTATAAGGTGCTGGGTACCTGCCAGGAACCCTGTCCATACACGATCTCAGTTCAGCTCCTCACCTTGGGTACACAAGAAAGGATCCCTGGCTGAAGAGGGAAATAGAGGCTGGAAACAGGGGTACATGGGCAGGGTGGTGGTGGTGAGAGAATTGCCCGAATCAGCTGCCAAATGGTGCCCAGGTTGGAAACGCAAATGTGCACACATGGGTTCTTCCCACTCTAACCCTGAGGAATTCGAGGCCTGCTTCTGACACAGACTGGGCAGTGGCTAGTGACTCTAGGTATAGAGTGTCCAGACCCTGCTCACCCAGGCTAGAGCTTAGGGAGCCAGAAGGAAGGAGGTGCATGTGGGGGTGCGGGACAGGAGGGAAAAACACTCCTTAAATTGCAAAGTGAGGGCAGAATCTATTTACATTGGGTTGAATTAACTCCTCCCCTTGATGCCACTAAAGCAGGAATCACACTGCAGATGGCACTGATTTGATTGGCAAGAGACATGCCAGGAAGAATATTAAGGGACCAGGCCCCTATAATTAGGCCTAATCGTAGCCTGTTGTTTGAAAAGGGTATGAAGGACATTCATCAGGCTTGGCACTGTGCCCTAGACCTGCTCTCCTGGGTAGTGGGGCCCTCCATTGCAACAGAGGTGTGGGTGGGCCTGGGAGAGTGTGGCAAGAAATGCTTAGGAGGCTCTACTTGGCCTTAAAGGGCTGTGTGACCTTGGGTAAATTGCCTTCTTTGAATCTCTGGTCCTTTCCATTTCCCATTCTCCAGGCTAAGAGCTGCACTCTGATACACGGTTATTCCCAATAATAATAACCATCCACCCCGTGCAGTGGTCATAAACCAGAGAGAGAAATGTCCACATGAAACTAGGTGCTGCATGCTGGCCATCACTCATGGATCATTAATGAAAACTAACTTGGAATCACTATTTTAAGGACAGGATGGTGGGGAGGCATGCTTGTAAACAGAGCCCTTGGCGACTCAATTCATCTGCAACTCATTTTTCATATATGTTAAATGTATCCCTTCAAGATCATTGCAAAGAAAAACTAAGTTAACATAAGAAACAGTGCCTGGTGGCTAGTGAACATTCTACAGGTGTTGGATGCTGTTGTCATCATTGTTATCATTATCAGAATGGACAAGACAGAACCCCACAGTCATTCATTTCAGCTCTCTTTTTGGTGAAGAAATGTGTTGAGCATTTAGCTGGAAACCTGGCACTTAGGCACAAGGTTGGTGTAGAAGGCACCTGCAGACCTGACCCAGGCGCAAGGCTAGGCACCCTTGTCCAGTTCTCTGCTGACTTACAGGCAGTTCTCCCTCACTGCTCCTCACCTCCAGAATAAGGAGACTCCTTCAGCTTTGAAGATGTGGGAAGAGCAGGGGTGAGGGCAAGGAAGAGGATGTCTGAGCATTGAAAAGGCCAAGAAAAGAGGCTGGAGCCCTGAAGGCAATCAGCACCTGTTCCCAAGAATGCAAGGCTGGGCCTTCTCCCCTCTCAGACACATCCATCATCTGTCAAGATCAGCCACTCAGAGCCCTCAACCTTGCCCCCTCCTCCTTCAGACCCCATGGTACACTCACACCAAGGAGGGTGTCACAGTGCAGGGATTTCATCCCCAGGGCAGCTCATTGCTGGGAAGGCCACAGCACCCAGCTCCCTCTGCTGCCAGATTCCAGGCCCTGTGGACAGCATGTGTCACACAGCAGGTGCACACTTACTGTCATCTCCCTTCCTTAGTCCTGGAGGTGGTCTCTGCTGTGGCTCTGCATGCCACCAATGCTCTCTGACCATCTCTAACGGCAGCCTTTGATCTCAAAAATGCCCCAGCCTCTAAGTAACCCATGGCAGTATGAAGCCAACAATGAGGAATTTCTTCCGAGCTCTCTCCTGGAGATGGGGTGGCGGGAGGGCATGCCTGCGACTGAGATAACTCCCAAAGCACAGCAGGGAAGGAAGAGGAGAACAATGAGGAAGAAAGGGAGCTGAGAAGGGAGGGGAAGCAGACAGGAGATGAGGCGGTGCATGGAAGAGAGCCTGGTGCCACCCCCATAGGCTACCCTATCACCTCAGTCCCTCCCAGCATCCAAGGCCCTTCCTCAGGGCTGCTGTGCCTATCACGGCCACTAACCTGGCTGCTCCCTGAGCCTGGCAGCCAACAATCACACAGAAGAAGTCCAAGAGCCCAGCTCTGCACACCTTCAGCACTCCTGTCACAGCAGCGGGAAAGGGTTCTGGTGTCATGGACCTGGTGCCTTGAGCCAACCTGGGATGGGCAATGTCTGTGGCCACTAAGAAGCTGACCTCAGCATGGTCCGGCTGGGACTAGAATGGGAGCAGAGACGGGGCTTCTCGAGTCTATCTGTGCGGTGGGAAGGTCTTCCTGTGTGTGTGGCTGCAGGTGGATCTAGGAAAGGGGGATAAAGGCCCTGCCTTCAGGGCACCCCAACTCTACTGGGGAGACTCACTCTGACACATGAAGCACACCAGACATCCAAGAGGCACATGAAATGGTGAGACATGACGGGTGAATACAAAAAGCCAGGAACTCCATTCTGGAAAAACAGGACTGATGGCATTGGATCAAGTCTGCAAAATCACAAAGGACAATAAAGAGAACTGACACAGACCTGAAACAGAACCCCAGGCATCCCTTGAAGCTCAAAAGAATGATCTAAGGACAAATAAACGGCAGTTGAGTTTTACACAACGGGCAAAGGCAAGGAGTTCCTTACCGTGGGGATGACACAGGATAAAACATGGCTGAGACCAGGAGAACTCAGATAAACTCGTGGGAGAACCACAATGTGCTGTGGAGGGGAGCAGGCATGCGGGTACACTCCTGACCTCCACAGACGGCCCCTACCACCAGGCCTGATGGAGCTGCCTACCTAGCATGGGTAGGCCTCATTCCTTCAGAGAAATGGAAGAAATTTTAATTTCTTTAAAATAAAATCCTTTAATTTTAAGAGACTTAAAATGAAAACCTTTAAGCCAGCCCTGCCCTTGTGTGTGCTGAGTTCCAGAACCAGGCACTGCCAGTGAGCAGCAGAGGGAATGCACCTGCCTAGGCTGGAGGGGAGCAGGGCCTGGGGGTGTGGGTGGTGTTTGCTATTCTTCCCAGGATCACTGAGCACCTAGGTGAGCTGAGCTACCGGAGTCCTTGGAAAGACCCAGTGCCCTTCTTCTTAGGGTCAAGAAGGAAGGCACAAAGAGGGAGAGAGGCTCAGCAGAAGAGGCCCCTAAGCTCCCAAGGCAGGCTGCTGGATGCTGAGAGATGAGGCCACCAGGTCAACTGCCCTAGGAGGGGAAGGGGAGGGGAGAGCCCTGGCAAGGAAGCCCCCAAGGCTACTGACTCCACAGGAATCATCTCCTGAGCCTGGCTGGGGTGGTGTGAGCCTAGTGAACCACACGCGCTCCTTTCTCTGCTACTCCAGCAGGAACTGGCCGCTGTGAACCCTCTTCCCACATTAGCCGGCTCTCACACTGTGACTAAAGAGACCAGCCACCACATGGTCCCGGTTACAGGGGCAGCTGGGGCCTTGCCATCTGGCAGGACCTGCTGCCACTGGCGCTCGCTGTCTGTGAGCACAGGGTCTGGTGGGCAGGAGGTGACTGGAGGGCATGTCTTCCCAAAGGAGAGCTCGCCAGGCCACTCCTCAGAGGCCCCAGCCCACACCACCAGCTGCCTCTGCTCCTCCCAACTGTGCACCTCGTGCCATCGAGGGAGGGCTGGGACCCAGCTCCAGGGCTGCGGCTGGCAGAGAAGGACCTGGCCTCCTGCCCACTGGGACAGAGAGGTAGCGGGTGGGAATTCTACCTTCCTCACCTCCCGAGATGTCCACAGGCTTTGGGGAAATGGTTGAGGGGCTTTGGAAGTTCAGGGAAAGAAAAGGAGGCCCAGGAAGAGGATGAGGCCAGCCTGGACTTGTTCATCCACAGGGACCAGGGTCCATGTGGCTGACAGTCTCTTGGGGAGGGGACGGGACTCTGGGTCAAGAAGCCTAAGTCATAGACATAGTCATCTCCCTGCCTCTGCGCAGACTGCTGGGGTCAAAAACAGCATCACGTAAGCACCCTCCACCTTGGAGTGCACTGTTTGGGGCAAGGTGCCCCCAGACAGGCCCTGTTGCTAACACTTACACCCAGCAGTTCCGATGGACAAGCTGTAAGGACAGCCTCGCCCCAGGTGCCAGGCACCAGAGAACTTACAACTGACAGCCAAGGCCAGCTGGTAAGCCCTTGGTTCCCAGCGAGAGAGCCTGTGAGCACAGTGGAGCCTCAGGACAGCACGATCAGAGCTGGCTTCTCAAAGGCGGTGCCCTTGAGCTCAGTCACCTCTCGCCCCTTTGCCGCCCATTGCTGGCACCTGGCTTGGGCTCTCCGTCTGCCCAACAGCTCACTTCAGAGGAAACAGGAAACCAACGGGGCCTTCGCTGCCCTCCTCAGCCAAACCCATGCAAGGCCAGCCCATGGAAAGGGAGCCAGGGAGGGTGAGAGTGGAGGGGCAGAGGCCTGGCTGCTTCTCCTGCTGTGATCTGGGCACACACTAAGCTGCTTAGCCAACAGCTCTATCTCCTGGGCTCAGGGCTCAGCCATGTGAGGAGGAAGGGATCAGTACAGCCCTGAGGAAGAGTGAGGACCTCAAGTCAGCCAGAGCTGGTGCCCCACAAACTGCTGTGGAACGCGAGCAACTTACTTAACTACTCTGAGCCCCCTTATGTGCAAAATAGGAACAACAAACAGGAGCTCCCACCTCCTGGGGTTGTATCGGAAATTCAGTGAGGTGGTAAAGCACCCCGCTCCACGCCTGGCCTATGAGAGATGCTCCACAAACGGTGGCTGTGATGGCAGTGGGGTCACCACCACATGATGGCTGAGCCCAGCAGACAATAAGACATGGAAATCAACCACTGCGCAGCCACTCGCAACAAGGAAGAAGGTGGAAAAGCTCATGAGAAACAAACATCCTTATGACAGGCTTGCAGGGACGCCTCTGTATTCAGTTATTTTTTTCTGCTTTGGTTTTTGTGTTTGTTTGTTTGTTTGTTTGATTTCCTGAGATGGAGTTTTGCTCTTGTTGTCCAGGCTGGAGTGCAGTGGCACAATCTCGGCTCACCACAACCTCCGCCTCCCAGGTTCAAGCGATTATCCTGCCTCAGCCTCCCAAGTAGCTGGGATTACAGGATGCCCGGCTAATTTTGTATTTTTAGTAGATATGGGGTTTCTCCATGTTGGTCAGGCTGGTCTCGAACTCCCAACCTCAGGTTATCCACCCGCCTCAGCCTCCCAAAGTGCTGGGATTACAGGTGTGAGCCACCATGCCCGGCCTCTGCTTTGGTTTTTAAGACTCAACAATGATAGCCTCCTTCATTCCCCCAAATATACCACCCACACCCCAGCTTTCTCAGGCTGATTCAGAGGCTGTGCTACGAGGCCTCTGGGGACCCAGTTCTCCACAGAACTCCTGGCTGAATACCCTGCCTCAGAGTCCCTCTAGGACAGGCCCACACTTCACTTCTGCGCAATTGGGAATGTGCGTGAGGTACGGGTGCGGCCGCCATAGAAGGAAAGGCCCCGGGCCTGGGTCAAGCCCAGCGACTACTGGAGCCCCTTGTTCGTCTGTTACATCCTCTGCTGGCAGGCAAAGGGGAAAGAAAACTCCTGGCCATCGGGGCACCCAGATTCTACTCTGGGCTCTTTCCAGAACTGGCCATGGGAGCTTGGGCAGGCTGTGTCGCATGTCTAGGCTGTTGCTCCTTATCTGCAGAATGGGAGCCGTGCTCACTGGTGGATGGAGGAGGGGACAGGGGACAGACTGGGTGGCATCCCAGGGCTCCAGGCATTGGACAGAAGGCATGTCCAGGGCCTGGGCCATGCCCAAAACAACCTAGAGCAGGGCAAGTGGCAGAGCCCCTCCCAGGCTGCTGGCAAGGGCCCCCTGGCCCTAAAGCAGCCCATCCTCATCCCACCCCGGCTAGTGACTTTGAAAGAGCAGCTTCTAGATGCTCAGCCAACTACACACAAAGGCTTCTCCCTACTGGGAACAAAGTAAGAATAACGCCACCCTCACGGGACCAAGGAAGCTCTGAGAGGGGATCCATGAAGCCAGCCTCGGGAACCAGAGGAGGCAGGGGGGCGGCGAGAGGGCTGGGCAGCAGAATGTTGGCTCGCCTGATTAGCTGACCCCACCCAGAAGAAGACGGAGGATTCTAGTTCTTTAAGGGAACTGGCAGACTTCTTCTCTAGGAGCCCTCTACCTCCTGGGCCCCAACTCTGAAGCAGCTGCCTGGCAGAGACAGTGAGGAGGGTGCAGGGAGAGGACTTTGCCCTCCACTGCTCTCCAGCCAGGACACGGCCCCGGCTGGCAGCCTTTCATTCTATACTGAGCCAAGAGACACACACCAGAGCCCCAGGCTGGCCATGCCCCACCGCCTCTCCAGCCCCACTGGGCACACTGGTAAGTCTGGGGCCTCTGCCCACAGTCAGGGCCTATCGTGGCCTGGAGCCCACACCTACCACACTGACTACAGCAGGACTGAGGGCACTCATGGTATCTCATGGAAAACAAACTGAGGCCCAGGAGGAAAATGTTTGTTTAAAATTTTGCACGCCATTTCTCCAGGGCCACTAAGCCAGGTCCACTTACTTTGATTACTCTTTAGTGCTCTCCTTCCAGCCATATGAGGAAAACATATATGTTTTCAAAACTTAGGAAAATACTGTATTCTATTTTTCCTCACTTGAAATTACATGGACACACCTGCAACTGTATGTGTTTTTTAAAACTCCAAGAACTGTACACCAAAAAGAGCAAACTTAAAGCTGGGAGTTGTGGCTCACGCCTATAATCCCAGCACTTTGGGAGGCTGAGGTGGGTGAGTCGCTTAAGCCCAGGAGTCTGAGACAAGTCTGGACAACATGGCGAAACCTGTCTCTACAAAAACCACAAAAATTAGCTAGGCATGTTGGTGCGCACCTGTAATCCCAGCTACTGGGGAGGCTGAGGCTTGAGTCCAGGAGATTAAAGCTACAGTGAGCTGAGATGGTGCCACTACACCTCCAGCCCGGGCAACAGAGCCAGACCCTGTCTCAAAAAATAAATTAATAAATAAATAAAAAGAGAAAACTTTAAGGCATGTATGTTGGTAATACAATACATAATTATACATATATACATAGTATGTAAACTTCACAGTGCATTGAGAACATTTTCCCTGTGTCATTTAATAGTTTCCCAAACCCACTCATCCATGCACATACCATACTTTATTTAAAATGTTCCCCTAATGGGCCAGGTGCAATGGCTCATGCCTGTAATCCCAGCACTTTGGGAGGCCAAGGTGGGTGGATCACATGGTCAGGAGTTCAAGACTAGCCTGGCCAACATGGTGAAACCCCATGCCTACTAAAAATACAAAAATTAGCTGGGCATGCTGGCATGCACATGTAATCCTAGCTACTCAAGAGGCTGAGGCAGGAGAATTGCTTGAACCTGGGAGGCAGAGGTTGCAGTGAGCTGAGATCACACAATTGCATGTTAACCTGGCAACATAGTGAGACTCTGTCCCAAAAAATAAAAAGTAAATAAATAAAATGTTCCCATAATGTAAGAAATTTAAATTGTTTTTGATTTTCCTTTATTATAAATTGCTCTTTAATGAGCACTCTAACACATAAGATATTTGATAGCTTTTCTTATTATTTTCTTAATATGGAGTTTTAGAAGTGCAGTTACTGGTCCAAAGATATGCCTTTAGTGCCCTTAGCCTTAGTTCTTAAGGCTTGTAGTACCCTTTGCAAAGAGGCTTTTCTCAAAGGTTTTGACACGCTATACTCCACCAGTGCTGGAGTAGAGGGCTGCATCATGTTAGCAGTTATCAGCTTAAAAATCTGTGCACATTTGGAAGGCAAGATGGCATGCACCTGTAGTCCCAGCTACTAGGGAGGCTGAGGCAGAAGAATCACTTGAGGCCAGAAATTTGAGCCTGCAGTAGCTATGATTGCACCACTGCACTCCAGCCTGAGCAACAAGGTGAGATCCTATCTCTATAAAAAAAAGAATAATAATAAAGAAAAAAGAAAGGCAAAAAGTAGTATACTATTGTTGCCATAATTTGGATTTCTTTGATTACTAGTGATGTTCTGCATTCCTTCTCATGTTTATTGATTGCTAATATTTCATGTACAAACCTAGTTACAGCAACAACCAGCAAGCCACAACTCTCAAACATCCTTGCCATCTTAGTGCCATTGCTGTAATATATAAAACACACATTAAACCACAGCAGTTAATATTGTGCTCGTGGTTAATACCACAGTGCAGTAGAGACAGGCTGGCATAGCGTGAGAAGCAGAGGTTCCAAGCCAGACAGCCCTGGGTTTAAATGTCTCCTCCCTCATGGACCAGCCATGTGACCTTGGCAAAGTAACTTAACCGCTCTTACCTTGGGTGTCATCTGCTGTGGAGCTATAAAATGAAACAGTCATCACTTCCTTCCAGGGCCCCATGAGAATCAGGTGAGGATGACACAGGGGAGGCAGGTACACACGGCCACACACCCGAGGGGACTCAGCAGGGGGCAGTAATGACCACAGGGGACACTACTAAAGGGCTGAGTATGCAGAGCTCCCATCCCGGAGAGAAGGGGGGAAGAGGATGATGCCAGTGATACTGGGCTGTATTGTTAGGTCACTAAAGTCCAGTGTGGCATCCAAAAGTGTGCCTGTCAGACCGAGTCTTCCCGTCGAGTACGCTTTACAGAGGGCCTCATCCTCTGAGGGCTGACCGTGGGAAGGCAGGGAACTGGACCCAAAGATCCTGGCTTTTCCTCCCCAGGAGACCAGGGATAAGCTCAGCATCCCCATACACTGAAGGCAGCAGGAAGCTGGCTGTCTAACACCTCTCTTGCTTTGTAAGAGGGTCCTTCCTAATGCAGAGCTGGGGAAAGGAGAGACGCTGGGAGGGGCTAGCATGCCGCACCAGGGAAAGGCTGGTGCTCTCAGCGGTGGCTGGCTCTGCCTGCAGCTACGTGACTGAGAGAAGAAAGTCATTCAGAGAAATCCCAAGACACAGAGAGCAGCATCGTGGCTTAGATCCCTCTTGCCTCCCTCCTCCGAGGGCTGGCAGTGGGGAGTGTATATACCTCCGAAAATGAGAGCTGGCTAATAGCAGGAAGCCCAGGGCCTCTGCACCTACTTACCTCCCACCAGAAGAAAGCACCATTCCTCAGCACCACCCCCATCAACTCAGGCCCAGGAACAGGTGAATCCACCCAGCCAGACACAAGCAGGCGGGGAAAGATGCAGGGAGATACCCCACCTGCGTATCTCCTTAAATCTGCTTTAAAATCTTCCAGGAGGCTGGCAGATCACTGGAGCTCAGGAGTTCCAGACCAGTCCGGCCAACATGGTGAAACCCATCTCTACTAAAAATACAAAACTTAGTCAGATGCGGTGTCACGCCCGTAATCCCAGCTACTCGGGAGGCTGAGACACAAGAATCAAACCCAGGAGGTGGAAGTTGCAGTGAGCTGAGATCGCACTACTGCACTCCAAACTGGGAAACAGAATGAGACCTCAGCTCAAATAAATAAAATGCTCCAGGAGGGAAAAAAAAAAGGAGTGAGAGTAGATGGAATAAAGTCACAGTAGAATGTGGCATCAGGTGAGGGTGACATAGGGGTTCACTACATTATTCACCATATTTTTGTGCATGTTTAAATATTCCCACAATATATAAAAGCTAAGAGGAAAAAGGCGAGTAATAGAAACAGGGGGACTACATAAGGTCATGATGCCTGTCCCTCTTTGTCAAACTTCTCTGTACCTCTTATCTTGGAGATGCCCTCCCTGTTCCTGCCCTACAGCCAGCATTCTTTTGCCTTTATTCCATTTCACAATTTCCACATCCCTGGCTGTTTTCCTCACCCCCACTCAGCTCCTTGCTTATCGCCTTCTTCTTCACCCTCCTTGTCACGACCCTGTCAGAAGCTCTGATAACCCTCCAAGAAGACCAAGTCCAAGAGAGCAGACCAGGAACCAGGACTCCTGGGTTTCAGCCCCAGCAACGCCACTGTCTGCACCTATGCAACTAACCCCTACCCAGTTCACATCACATGAAAGCCCAGCAGAGCCCCCAAAGAGATGTTCAGAAGTCACTGCTGCTGCTACTTCTACAAGGCAAACAAAGGAGAGCCCCCATCCCTCAGAACCTGTTTGCTGGGATCCACCTCAGGCAGCAGAACAGGGACATGGACCAGGCTGCCTGGCAGGGCACCACGGAGGGCTGGGGAAATGGGAATATAGATGCCATGATGATCATATTAATGAGGGTAAAAATTAGGACCAACAGGGGACGTCCCCTCTGCACATGTGTACAAGTGTGTGCCTTTCACAGACAATAGAGGCTGAAGTCAGGGAGGCAGCATGCACAGGCAGGCCTGGCTCAGACAGGGGCCACGTCCCAGTCAGACAGTCTCCTGCCACGCGTTCCCAGCAAGGATGTGAAAACAGCCCTGCCACTCGCTTTCCACCCACACCCCTCCATGCCTTGCCTTTCTCCCTCTTTTTCATGAGGGAGGAGAGTGTGCTCGCCCTCTTCTCTCCCAGGATGACAGTCAGGCCTGGAAAACAGAAGGCAGGACCAAGGGACAAATCAGGGTGCCCTCAGGTCTAATGCCAGCCATGTCCTGCCATACTGGGTGCCTGCGGAACCCACATACCCCTCTCCAGGCTGAGAAGATGGCCACCTGACCTCCTTTGGGAGGTCATTCCTTTGGGGTGGTCATGTTTTGGGGGAAACCAGAGAGAACCTGAAGTGAGGAAACAGCTTGGGGATGAAGGTGCTGTACAGACACCGGGCCAGTCCCGCCGGCTACTCATGTTTACTATGCACAGCCAGCACACCCATGGGCGAAAGACCTTCGGTGCCCCCTGCTCCTAAGAGCTAAGCACTAAATAGTGCATCCGCTGCTGCTCCCTGCTAACTCTCCCAATGGACCCTCACGCTGCCCCACTAGGGACTGGGATTTGAAGAGGTAACCTTTAACTCCATTGTTGAGTGAGGAAATAAGGGCAAGGGATTTTACCCTAAAATAGGGAATATAGACTAGTTGGCCTTGGGATCTAAAGCCAGGAGTCCCGACTCCCAGCCAGGGCTCTCCCCATGAGACATGGGAGAGTTGGCCAAGCTTTCTGGGGAAGAGCACCATCTGGGGTTCGGTTTTCCTAGCTAGCCAAGGAGAAGGAGCCGGCCCTGACAAACTCAGTGACATTCACACAGGGCATCGTGGGAACAAATAAAAGCCACAAACCACAATTCAACACAAAGCAGGCTGGATCCTGGCAGCTGCAGACTGATCAGCCCAATATGTCCCGGGGGTGGGGCAGGAGAGGACTCTGAGATGCCCGGGAAGGACATTTGTCATGCCAGCCAGACCAAGGCTGCCCCGCAGAGTGAGAGCAACAAAGGATGCAGATCCAGGACCAGGATCACAGGCTTAGCTCAGCTGCTTCTAACCAGGAGCCTTGGACAGATCACTTGGCCTCTCTGACTCTCAGTTTTTCTACCTATAGAGTGGGGATAATGCATCTTCCTTACAGGAACAATAGAAGTGCTTTGTAAACCATAAACAGCACAGGAAAATGAAGGAATATCCTAGTCCTCTTGAGGATTAGAGGGGGAGGGAAGAGGAGGGAAGGAAGAGAAAAAGGTAGGAAAGGATCCAAAATGAGGCTGAGATTTTGAAACCCAACCTGCTGGCTTTATAGCCAAGCTTTTCATCATCACTGGAAACTCAAACCTGCAGCAATTATATGCTGAGGTCATAAACGTGATTAAAAAGGTTGTTTGCAAAGCTGATTCCAGGGAAATGAGCTGCAGATGGCGGTGGCATCAATGTCCTTTTGCAGCAGGCAGCAGCTGGCTGTGTGGACTCAGGGACAGCTGGAAGGAGTTGTGCTAATGCCCACCCCCAGCTTTGGAAGGCGGGGGCAAGCTGACTGCCCTCTCTGTGCCTGGGGACAGGGGAGACTTGCAGAGAGCTGAAACCCTAAGCCATAAAACCGCCATTTGTTCCAGAGAGAAAAGCCAGTTTTTCAATTCCAGCCCAACCAGGAGGGTGGGCCAAGCTCAGAGAAAGAAGAGTGGACTGAGAGCACGAGTCCTTCCACGGCAGCCTGCCTCGGGCGGGACAGGCTGCAGTGGCTCTGGCTGTCCACTGGGAGTGTCCTTGGTGAGGGAGGAAAGAAGGCAAAGCCACATCTGAAGTCTCTCGGCCAGAAGAACCCTCTGTTCTGAGGCCAACAGGTAGCCCTGGTATAAGGAGAAGGTGGAAAATACAGGCACCAGAACCTTCTCTGCTGCTTATGGCTTCATAGAATGTTTTGCAGGTGACATTTCACATAAGTGGGCACCAGCCTGTCTGTCTTTGATGGAAAGACATCAGGAGGCAGGACCCAGGTCTCTGTCAGTGGCTTCCTGTCAGAGTGGCCAACACGGGATACTTAAAAATGTGAAGAAGGAGACGTCGATCAGGATAATACAATGAGCCCTTGGCCCAAATTTGGGAAGGGCCCTCTCTTTTGATGTATCTCACTACCTCAGCTGCCATCCCTCTCCTGGTCACTTCTACCCATGCTTCAGCCACAGCCCCACTTACTCCAGGAAGCCCTCCCTGATGAGTCACCTGCAGCAACCTCCTGTCCTGCAGATCCTCACCCCGTACTGCTCACTGCCTTGGCTGCTGCTCCCAATCACTCATATGCGTGCCCATGTCTGTCTGACAACTGGGCGCTCCCTAATGGCAGAAGCACATCCATATGACATTTCTCAAATGTTCCCTATAGTACAGGGAACCCAGAGCACGTCCAATGACGTTGGGATGTGAGCCTGCAGAGCTTTTCACAAATTTGCAGAACAAGCTGTGTCCTTCAGCATCATTACCTGCCCTCCCCCTCCGACTGAACCTGGAGAAGAGTCAACAGCCTGCTACCAAAAATCCCCCACAGCCCGGACTCGGATGATTCGCCTACAAAGGCTGGGGAGCACAGTCCCAGGCTTACTAATCTCCTCTCTACCCCATCCCCATTTTTTCCAGTCCCCAGAAAGTCCCAATCAATCTCTCAGCAAATTCCACAGGATCTGTCAGATTCAGATCCAGTCAACTGCAGGCCGAGTGCTCTTCGCATCTCATCTTATCTACTGCAGGAAGCAACCTGAGGGCAGCAAAGAGGAAGACAGCTGGTATGAACGGGCTCTGAAACCTACCAGCTGTGCGGCCCAGAGAAAGCTACCTAACCTCTCTGAGCTTCAGCTGCTTCAGCTGTAAAATGGCAAGTATACCGCCTTTCTCAGGTTTACTGTTGAAATCATGTTTGTAAAGTGTTTATAAAGTGTTTAGCACTCTTAGAAAGTACTCAATAATGGTAATTAACATGAAATTATCATACCAATCTCTTCAGGTAGGTATTATTGTCTTCTGTCTACCAATGAGGGTGAAGGTCAGAGACGTTAAGCAACTGGTTCAGAGCCACACAGTATCTGCTCAGGAGGCAGAGCTGGGGGTTCAGACAGAGCAGCAGAGCGTGCCCTCAGCCCTGGGGAAGTTTGCAACCTCAAGTCACAGGGACAGAGTAGCTGTGGGAACTTGGGTCAGGTACCTCCACCCCTCCCCAGGTTCAGCAGCTCCCCAGGAATCCTGGAACATGAGGCATGGCCTCAGCAAGTCTCCATTTGAGAGAATCAGCTGGGATCTCCCAGATTAAGTGTTGTTGCAGGCAGCTGGGCCAAACCGCCTGCCCTGGACCCTAGAGCTCATCAGATTGGCACCTGCTCTTCCCACACAGGCAAACACGGATGGTGCCACTGGCCGAACCCCGCCATCAGCCTTCACACAGTTGAGCTCACCAGGAAAGCAGAATCTCTAAAACTCCAGCTGCAGTGCAAGCCCAGCCCCCAGGGACACCGCTGTCCACATCTGAAATAGCTGGCGATCATCACGGGGTGGGAGACAGGATGCAGTGGGCACCTTCCACATTGAAACCCACTCAATTAAAACCCCACGTGTGGGGGACAGACACACACGTACCCATCACACCCAGTCTTACGTGTCCACTGAGACCCTGGTTACGTTAGACATGGCCTCAAAGGAAGTAGGTACTTTCACAAACATCATCTCCTTTGATCTTCTCAACCACCCTGAGGAGTATGTACTTTTGCCCCACTTTACAGATGAGGAAACTGAGAAGACATCAGGCAATTTTTCCAACATCACACAAAGGATAAGGAAAATGTTAGGATGCCAACCCCATGTCTCCAGGTTTCTTTCCACTACAGCATGCTGTTCATTTGTGATCTCGTTCATTCATCCATCCTTCCTTCCACTCATTCCTTCATTCACTCACCTATATTTTTCCCTAAACAGCTACAGGTCACCACTGTCTGGGTTGTTTGCTACTACCTTCTGCTGCTGCCTGAGAAAACCTGGGAGACTGTGATCACATTTTTTTTCCTGTAGAGCTGCCCGAATACAGCTCTTCTCAAAGCCTTGCAGCAGAGATGATACAGCCATCAGCAGCTGATCCTGGAATGAGTGTTGAGAGCAGCACAGACCACTCTACGTTTCTGCTCTGACCACAGGTCTGGCCTAGAATTTGCCCCTCCACTGCACAATGCAGGTAAAAACCTTTAAAAAAATAAATAAATGGTCTCTGAGCCTCCCAGAAATACAGCACTTAGAATGTTGTTTTTGGAGGGGGCATGTGATAAAGAATGGGAAAGATAATAAAGTAGCCTGTCACCCAGCTCACAGGCAGGTGCATGTGGCTGCAGGGGATCGTTTAGTCAATTTAATGACATATTTGTTGAGTATCTATTACTGTGCCTGGTACGGGATGGAGTGGGTCAGGGAATAGGGGAGGGCACAAAGGGAGTCAAAAAGAATAGAAAGAAAGCCGTCAAAGGGCTGATGGTCTGGTTGAGGGAAAAAGACAGGAACCATCTGCTTAGACAACACAGATATAAAGTGTACTTGAGAAATTCAGAGGATGGTAAGGTGCCTGCAAGTGGGGACACAAAAATTTCATTCAGACCATGGAATTTCAGCTAGACAGGGAAGGATGGCCAGAATTTAAACCTGGGATGGTATAGAAGAAAATTACCCAGGCCAGGCGCAGTGGCTCACGCCTGTAATCCCAGCACTTTGGCAGGCCAAGGCGGGCGGTTCACCTGAGGTCAGGAGTTCAAGACCAGCCCCGTCTCTACTAAAAATACAAAAAATTAGCTAGCCGTGGTGGCGCACACCTATAGTCCCAACTCCTCGAGAGGCTGAGGCAGGAGAATCACTTGAACCCAGGAGGCAGAGGTTGCAGTGAGCCGAGCACGCACCACTGCACTCCAGCCTGGGTAACAAGAGTGAAACTCTATCTCAAAAAAAGAAAAGAAATTACCCAAACTGCCTGCTCAACACCATTGCTAATGAAAAAGCCTGCCTTGGTCTCTCCTTCCCTGATCTTAGCTTTTCTTTCTATCTCTGCAAAGCCTCCGTATAGAAATCTGGTTTTATTGTGCCTGGTAAGGGTCCTAGTTCAGTTCTAAAACAATTAACAACCATGAAGGGACAAAAGTCCGAAGTGGGCATCTCGCTTATGGCACATCAGCCTCTAGTCATAGTCACCCTCAGACCCCATCTAGCGGCTGCCCGAATTATTTCATTCAGGGATCTGTGTGTTTGGCTGATAACCAGGCACCACTGGCCCGTGGGGTGCTATGACTATTGCAGTGTTAAAAACAAGGCACTTGGCTGGGAAGACGTCTGCCGTTAAGTGGCAGGCTCATGGACAACGGCCTCAAGGTATTTTTCCTTCAGACATTTGGTCCCACTTTGGCAAGACATCTTGGCATTGCTTGGGCAAGATATTACGCTCTGCTTCTTCAGAGCGTTGGGTGGGAGATACCCCATAGACAGCTGAAGGGACTGGGACCTTGGGAAATCACATTTAAAATTTTTGGACTTGTTTAAAATTGTTTGACTTGGTTTAAACACAGTTCAAAGCCCAGCTGAGGCATTAAGGGTTTGTCACCTAAGGTTGTCATCTAAAATGGGAAATGTGTGCTCTATTCCTCCTTGTGGCCCGGTAGGATGTATTCTGCAGAATTGGGCTGCTTTTAGCTTTGAGCTTGTGAAAAAGAAAAAGTTTTTTTTATTGCAATGCTTCCTGGCTATAATATTCCCTAGGACCTGGGGAATGGTAGCCAGGATTTGGATCTTTAACGTAAAGCCAAGAGCTAAAGAAAATTTTAGTTAGTTGTTAGTCATGGTGGACACATTTATTGGACAGGTGCAAGCCTTTCCCTGCCACACTGAGAGGGTTTCAAAAGCCTTACTGAAAGAAATTTTCCTCAGATTTGGGGTTCCATTCCCCATACACAGTGATAACGAGAGTGCCTTTATTGCCACTTTATTGCCACTTTTTTTTGAGACAGTGTCCCACTCTGTCACCCAGGCTGGAGTGCAGTGGTATAATCACAGCTCACAGCAGCCTCGACCTTCTGGGCTCACAGGATCCTCCCACCTCAACCTCCCAAGTAGCTGGGGCTACAGGCACGCACCATGTCTGGCTAATTTTTTTTTTAATAGGAATGAAGTCTCACTATGCTGCCTAGGCTGGTCTCAAACTCCTGGGCTCAAGCAATGCTCCAGCCTCAGCCACCCCAAGCCTGTTGATTTCACCATAATTAACCCACTGTCTAATTTCTCATTTTCTGACTCAACTACAAATTACTGCATAACAGAAAAATAGCGCCGGGCGCAGTGGCTCACGCCTGTAATCCCAGCACTTTGGGAGGCCAAGGCAGGCAGATCACCTGAGGTCCGGAGTTCGAGACCAGACTGACCAACATGGAGAAACCCCATCTCTACTAAAAATACAAAATTAGCCGAGCGTGGTGGCGCATGTCTGTAATCCCAGCTACTCGGGAGCCTGAGGCAGCAGAATGGCTTGAACCCGGGAGGCGGAGGTTGCTGTGAGCCGAGATCGCGCCATTGCACTCCAGCCTGGGCAACAAGAGTGAAACTCCATCTCAAAAAAAAAAAGAGAGAGAAATACCATTACATGTCCCTTGCTTCTAGGAGCTACCTTGATCAAGTTTGCCGAAGAAGGAATCATATGCCTCCCCTTTGTTTAGTTTACTATCAGATTGATGGGAATTCTAGATGCCCTTACTCTTATTACTGTGATTCCCTAACAGCCTGTTCAGGAATGCCTCCAAGCTGTATCTTGGATCGAGTTAAATTCAGCAACTCCTTACTACAAAGCAACACTCGGAAATAGACCTACCAGGTCCTTGGTTTAATCCAATCCACGAAGCCCTGCTACAAGATTCTAAACTTAATCTATACAATCTTTCTGTGTTCCTCTGTGCATCCTCAGAATATCTATTTGTTTGTAGGGGATAACAAGAAACCCTCTGGATGTATGAATGTATTGACAGCTAGCATATAGGAGGAACTTGCCTGTAAGGATACTCATTTATCCCAGTTTTCTGTACACAAAACTGCTGAAACCAAGCACTGGAAAAGCTCCCTAAAATTACTTGGTAAAACTAAATGGTCCACAACTCACTTTCGAGATATACAGATTCATACTTGCCTGGTACCAAGAAGACAGAGCTGGGTATTTCTTCAGATAAACTTTGTTACCTTGGCGGAGAACGGTGCCCCATGAGCGCAGAATTAGAAATCTCTCCCTTTATGAATTCTTGTCAAGGAAATTGCAATCGCAGCCCAGCAGAGAGGAATTAATGTATTGGGTCAGGTTGTCTTAGATAATAGGATAGCCCTAGATTACATCTTAGCGGAGCAGGGAGGAGTATGTATGGTTGCAAATACCGCGTGCTATATTTACATAAACGAATCCGTGGAGGTAGAAACTCATCTAGGAAAAGTTAGAGAGCAAGCCACTTGGGTACAACAGCCTCCCAGACTGTCTCTGAGGACTGGTTTTCTTTTCTGTTTTCTTGGATTCCTCGTGGAAAACAGTCTATGTTTTCTGGGTGGCTAAAACTAGGCATGTCAGTCTTGTTAATTGTGCTTATGCTTTCTATTATGACCAAATGTGCATTAAAATGTTGTAGTGAAGCTGTGACTAAAGCAACTAATACAATGATAGTTCAGCACCACGGTGCCATGCCTGGGACTCGTGAATATTGTGAACTCCATGCTATTATAGAAACTTTCTCTCTTCATATCCTAGTCCCCGATCTTTGCCCCAATTCAGCAGGAAGTAGCCAGAGTGGTCTGTTCCCCTATACCCCTCAGGATTGTGGAGTGACAAGGATGGAACTGAGCTGCAACAGGGGCCCCTTTCTTAGGAGCCTGAAGACCCCAAGCATGAAAATAAAGAAAAACCCTAAGTTCCTTCAAGAGAAATTCCAGGCACCTCACTATCCCCAGAAGTAAATAAGAAGGTAATAGTAGCCTAAAACAAGAGCCAAGGACGTTTGAGTTCCAGAGATGTTTGCTTTCCCTGTAGGAACTAAAGACAACAGCTGAACATACGTCCTTGAGTTGTCTTTCAGAAACCCCCACTGAGGAACCACACCGAACAGATCCACTGGCATTTAGACCTCAGATAAGGGGGAAACTGAAGATAAAACTTCTTCCTGATGGGGCTTAGAGAAAGTCACACCCCATCCCAGCCAGTTAACATTTTTCTGCAGATCCCAAATTTTTAAACAAAGCTTCTCTTCTTTAACCAGTTGCAAATCCGAAAATCTTCGAATCTACCTATGACCTGTAAGCCCCCCTCAAGATATCCTCCCCTTTTAGGCCTAAGTCAATGTGTAATCTCCATGTATTGATTTACGATTTTGCCTGTAGCTTCTGCTTTCCTGAAATTTACTCCTGCCTTTAAAAACCCTTGCCTGCAAACCATTGGGAAGGTCAGGATTTGAGCATTTAACTGCTTGGTCCTCTTTGCTTGGTGCCCTGCAAATGAACACTTTTCTGTCACTGCAAAACCTCAGGGTAGATGTCTGGTTTTACTGCACCAGGCAAGCAGACCCCAGTTCACTATAACAGAAGGCGGTGAGGAAGAACTTAGGTTTTTATTCCGAGTTTAGCGGGAAGCAGAGGCTATTAAGCTGAGTTACGACATAGTCTCACCATTTTAGTCCAAGTCTTAGTCCTAGCAAAACACTTTGGCTGCTGTGTGGAATAACGCTTATAAGAAAACAAGCATGAAGCCGAAAGGGAAGTAAGGGCCTGGGCGCGGTGGTTCATGCCTATAATCCCAGCACTTTGAGAAGCCAAGGTGGGAGGATTGCTTGAGCTCAGGAGTTCAAGACCAGCCTAGGCAACATGGCGGGACCCCGTCTCTACAAAAAATTTAAAAGTTAGCTACACATGGTGCTGCATGCCTGTGGTCCCAGATACTCAGGAGGCTGAGGTGGGAGGATTGCTTGAGCCCAGAAGGTTGAAGTTGCATTAAGCCATATTCACGCCACTGCGCTCCCGCCTGGGCAATAGAGCAAAAGCTTGTCTCAAAAAAAAATTTGTTTAAAGACAAGTAAGGGAAATCTTCCAGTATTCTAGGTGAGAGGTGATACTCTAGACTAGGTTGAAAGCACTGGTAATAAAGAATAGTGGATGGACCGGGGATATATTTTGGGAGTAGGGCCAGAAGAATTTGCTGAATGCCTGGATGGGGAAAACAAGCACCAGGGAGAGCTCATGAGTGTCTAGCTAGAGCTACGGAAGAAGATGGGAGAGGGGCAAGGCAAAGGGTCGAAATCAAGAGTTCTCTTTGGTTCAGGTAAATCCAAGATGAAATTAGATGTCTGGACAACATGCCGAAAAGAAGAAAAAAAAGAAAAGAGAAATTAGATATTGAGGTGGAAATGCCAAGTGGGCAGATGGATACACCCATCCTGAGTTCTGAGGAGAAGTCTGCCCTAGAGGCTATGGACAAATCTACGCAAAGATGACACTTAGCATCCAAGAATTGCAGAAGATTAGCCACGGAGGGAGTGCAGGTGGGAAAGACGACCCAGGCCTGAGCCCAGATGGAGGGGCCTGGCAGAAGCAGAGGAGCAGTTGCCACCAGGGCAGCTCTGCAGAACCATCTGAACTTGACAAAACCCCAGAGGCAGCAGTAGGGAGCCACAGATATGACTGGGATTAAGCTTCATACCTGGGCTGAATGAAGGCTTAGAGTCAGAAATGTTCCCTGTTACAGAAAAATTTTAAACTTGTACTTCTTGGCCAGGTGTGGTGGCTCAGGCCTATGATTCCAACATTTTGAGAGGCCAAAGTAGGAGAATTGCCTGAGCCCAGAAGTTCAAGACCAGCCTAGGCAACATAGGGAGACCCTGACTCTACAAAAAATTTAAAAATTAGCTGGGTGTGGTGGTGCACACCTGTGGTCCCAGCTGCTCAGGAGGCTGAGGTGGGAGGATCACCTGAGCCCAGAAGGTCAAGGCTGCATTAAGATGTGATCATTCCACTGCACTCGAGCCTGGGCAACAGAGCAAGGCCCTGTTTAAAAATAATAATAAATTTTTAAAAAATATATGTGTTTTGAGACAGAGTCTCACTCTGTCGCCCAAGCTGGAGTGCAGTGACACGATCTCTGCTCACGGCAACCTCCACCTCCCAGGTTCAAGCCTTTCTCCTGCCTCAGCCCCCCAAGTAGCTGGGCCCACAGGCACCTGCCACCACACCCAGCTGATTTCTGTATTTTTAGTAGAGATGGGGTTTCACCATGTTGGCCAGGCTGGTCTCGAACTCCTGACCTCAGGTGATCCACCCGCCTCAGCTTCCCAAAGTGCTGGGATTACAGGTGTAAGCCACCGCGCCTGGCCTAAAATAAAAACTTTAAGTTGTACTTCTTGCATACCTGAGTCTGAGGAATGAGATTTATATCCACTACTCATAAAAATAATTACATAAAATTTTATATATACATAATTAACTAGGTTATGTATATGTCTTTATATGAGTGTCACAAAATAATCAGTGCCCTGAAGGCAAAGAAAGAACTAGGAAGGAGAATGGGAAGGGGCTCAGTCAAGATACAGCCTTCAGGGGAGGCATCTCTTAAGAAGTCTTCATAGCATTTCTCCTTTCCAATCAGACCTCTGCGGCAAACATCCTCCACCAGATCCTCGGCCAGGCCAAGAAGCTTCCAAGCTTGATCCTCCTCTTAATATTTATTGGAGCTGGAGGTCCTGGAGCAGCACTGTATGTCTTGCATCTGGCACTGTTCGATCAGATGTTAGTAGGGGCAGAAAGAATAACCCAAAAACCCTGAGACAAACTGGGTGCCAATGATCAGTACAAGTTCAACTCGGTGAATGTGGATTACAGCAAACTGAAGCAAGAAGGCCCAGATTTCTAAATGAAATGTTTCACTCTAAAGCTGCTTAGAATGAAGCTCTTCCAGGAGCCATCCGCACAATTTCCCACTTAACCAGGAAACATTTCTCCTCTAAAATACATGAAATCATCTTGACGTATTATTTTGGAGATTACACTAATTAATACATATCCGAGACTCGAAAAAAACTAAAAAAGAAGGTTTCATAAACAGAAGACAATTCAAGGGAGTTCCTGTGATCCTAAAGGGAGGAAGGATTTTTGCCAAAGGGTGAGAGAACAGAGAGATGAAAGCTATGGAAAGGACAACAGCGCAATTTAAAGCTTGAGAAACCAAAGGTAAATGAGAATGGCAACCACAACAAAAACTAAACCTGAGATTGAAGGGGAACTGAGTCTTCAGAGGAAAGAAAGCAAAGGAAACATCGTTTGAAAGGTTAAGGATATAGGTAGCTTGCAACTATTCTCAACTGGGCTTCCTCATCCGAACAGGGTTCCTTATTCCTCATCTGACCCAGAGTACATGACATAATTCGAGTGATTATTTCTTAATTCCCATAAGAATGGCAAATTGGCCGGGCACAGTGGCTCACATTTGTAATCCCATCACTTTGGGAGGCTGAGGTGGGCAGATCGCTTGAGGCCAGGAGTTTGAAACCAGCCTGGCCAACATGGCAAAACCCTGTCTCTACTAAAAATACAAAAATTAGCCAGGTGTGGTGGTAGGCGCCTGTAATCCCAGCTACCCGGGAGGCTGAAGCAAGAGAATCCCTTGAACCCAGGAGGCGGAGGCTGCAGTGAGATGAGATTGTGCCACTGCACTCCAACCTGGGTGACAGAACAAGACCCTGTCTCAAAAAAAAAAAAAAAAAAAAAAAAGGCAAATCTAGAATCCAGAAGGATGGCACTGATCTAGATGCATGGAGGGTGAAGTTGATCAATTCCATGCAATAGATGACATCGGGCACTGGGGCTTAGAATCCAGATTTTAAAAGGCCTGCTGTTAAGATGTCTGTTTGATAAAAAATCATAATACCAGAAAACCAGAATCAGCAACTAAAATTTAAAATAAAAATAGAGATCTCACCCAGGGGACTTTTAAGCTTCACTGAGGCAATGTGGTATGATTCTGGAGTGGAGTGAAAGCCTTTTCTGACCCAGATATCCTGTCATTAGTGTTCACAGCCAACACGGTCTCAGTTGTGCCTACCTGGCTTGCAGCATTGGGCTCTGCCCCCCGGCCTCTGTTATTTCGGGACCCTATCATCCCCATTGCTGGCAGCAAGCCCAGCGCTGTAACAGCATCTCCTGCCATCAGCCTGCCCTTTGGAATGCTGGGCGGCAACTCCAGGGCTTCTCTGTGATGCTGGTGCCCTCCTCACCAGGCCATGACTTAGCACGCCGGTAAACGGAGTATGCTCTGGGCCCTCCTAGGGAACACTGTGGGGGGTGGATTTTCTGGCCTCTATAGTCTAACCAGTTTGGCATGCCCACTGCTCTGGACATCCTGATTCCTTCCTTCACCATTTGCTGTGGCAGTTCTTCCAATTCTACCTCACTTAACGTGGGTCAATACTTTTCCAGGCCTCTAAGAGGCAACCTCTTAGAGGTTGTGATGTAGTAGTATGTTGGCGCCATCTCCCGGGGTCCTCGTCAGGGTGTAAATTCCGTACCGTAAAAGAAAGTTCTCCCTTTTCCAATTTGTATTTTGTTTCCTTTGGTTCAGCACCCTCAAGATCCAGTCCCGTACATATTCCCCCAGTTCCTGATGGTTCACATTGACCAGGCCTACAACTACTTTTTTTTCTTAGCAGGTTTGTTTTCTTAGCGGGCCCAGCACTTCTGTGGCTGGGTTATGTTCTAACTTGCCCTTAGCTTCGGGTCTGATGGCCAAGAGAGGAGGCAGAGCTGAATCCTGAGCAGAGCACGAGTTTTCTTGCAAGACACGATCCTCCACATGATCTTCAAATAAGCCGGAGGCTCTAGCCTCTAACAGAGAGGAGTGGATCACTTCTGCAGGCCCTCTTCCCCACTTATTACCGGCAGCCTTGCACTCACAGGAATGCCTTTCTTCACAGGCTTCCATTCCAAAGATCTTATTATCGAAACCGCAAATATGTCGCATACCAACGTCTGAGCCCTTTTAATTACTGTCATTGCCTCCTCCCTGACAGCTGTCTACAGCACCCGAATTATTTTCTTTGCACTGTTAGGACAACCTCACTTCACGGCTGTAATTGTCATCAACAAAAACAACCCCTTCCTAATCAATTCAATCAAATGCCTAACAATTGGTAGTATTTTTGCTGGATTTTTAATCTCCAACAATATTATTCCAATATCAGTTCCCCAAATGACTATGCTCCTTCACCTAAAACTCACAACCCTCAGCGTAACTATTTTAGGCTTCTCACTAGCAATAGAACTTAACCTTGTAACTAACAACCTCAAACTCAAGCACCCATCACAAATATTTAATTTCTCCAATATATTAGGATTTTACCCAATCACAATACACCACACAACACCACACTCAAATTTCCATGCAAGACAAAACCTAACCTCTCTTCTACTAGAACTGATTTGATTAGAAAAATCAACACCAAAAAATACTGCCCAGGTTCAAATGATAGCCTCCACCATTGTATCTAACCAGAAAGATCTAATTATGCTCTACTTTTTCTCCTTCCTTATCCCATCTCTCCTAACTCTATTCTTAATTATTTAACCCTATTCCCTCACATAATCTCAATCACAATAAAGATACTAACAGAGATCAACCAGCAACCACCACCCACCAACACCCATAACTGCACAAGGCAGCTACATCCATAGAATCCTCACAAAGTAATTCTATTTCCCCAACCTCAAAAGTCACCCAGTTTTCCATATTTTTAAAATCAGTTACAATTCCCACCTCATCATAATCAATTAACCACATAATTATCACCAACTCTAACAGCAACCCTAATAGTGAGGCATCCCAAATAACAACACTGACCCTCAGGTCTCAGGATACTCCTCAGTAGCCATTGCCATTGTATAACCAAAAACCACCATCATTCCCCCTAAATAAAATTTTAAAACTATTAAACCAGGCCAGGCACGTGGCCCATGCCTGTAATCCCAGCACTTAGGGAGGCTGAGGCGGGCGGATCATGAGGTCAGGAGTTCGAGACCAGCCTGACCAACATGGTGAAACCCTGTCTCTATTAAAAATACAAAAATTAGCCAGGCATGATGGCACGTGCCTGTAATCCCAGTTACTCGGGAGACTGAGGCAGGAAAATTGCTTGAACCCAGAGGGTGGAGGTTGCAGTGAGCTGAGATCGTGCCACTGCACTCCAGCCTGGGCAACAGAGCAAGACTCCATCACAAACAAAACAAAACAAAAAAACTATTAAACCTACAAAAGCCCCACCACAATTTAACATAGTACTGCAACCCACACCTCCACTAGTAATTAATCCCAAGCCTCCATAAATAGGAGAAGGCTTTGAAGAAAATCCCATAAAGCCTATAATAAGAATAATACTTAATAAGAATACAGTGTATGTCATAATTCTTACATGGGATATAACCATAACTAATGACATCAAAAATCATTGTTGTGCTTCAACTCTAAGAACTCTAATGACTAACATCCGAAAAACACATTCTCTATTATTAACCACTGTTTATTGAGCCACCTGCACAATCAAACATCTCGGCATGGTAAAATCTCAGCTTGCTTCTAGGTATCTGCCTGGTCCTTCAAATCATCACAGGGTTTTCTTAGCTATACACTACATGTCAGATACTCTGACCGCCTTCTCTTCAGTCACTCACTTCTGCTGAGATGTAAATTATTGCTGAATTATAATTATGCTACATGCTAATGAGGCTTCGATAGTCTGCATCTGCCTGTTTTTACATGTAGGCCGAGGCTTATACTACGGGTCATTTACTTTCCTAGAAACTTGGAATATTGGCAGTATTCTTCTATTTGCAGTTATAGCAACAGTATTAATAGGCTCCGTACTTTCATGAAGCCAAATATCATTCTGAGATGCAACAGTAATTACAAATCTACTGTTAGCCATCCCATATATTGGAACTGACCTTGTACAGTGAATCTGAGGTGGATTCTCATTGGATAAAGCCACTTTCACATAATTCTTCACTTTTCATTTAATCTTGCCTTTCATTATTACAGCCCTAGTAGCCATTCACCTGTTATTCCTACATGAAAAGGGATCTATTAACCCCTCAGGAATTTCATCAGATTCTGACAAAATCCCTTTTCACCCTTATTACACAATTAAAGATATTCTTTATTACACAATTAAATATATTACACAATTTATTACACAATTAAAGATATTCTTTATTACACAATTAAATATATTATTCTTATTACACAATTAAAGATATTAATTCTACTTCTCTTGCTCTTATCAATTCTGCTGACCTCCTAGGAGACCCTCACAACTACACCCCAGCAAACCCCCTCAGCACTCCACCCCACATCAAACCAGAGTGGTACTCTTTATTCGCCTACGCAATTCTACAGTCCATCCCAAACAAACTAGGGTTTTCTTGCAAGACAGGATCCTCCATATGACCTTCAAATAAGCCAGAGGCTCTAGCCTTTACCAGAGAGGAGTGGGTCACTTCTGCAGGCCCACAGGTCCAGCGGGACCTGATGATTCAAGATTTTTTAGTGCTTGGACCAAGTGTCCCCATCCAAAGTCTCAGAATCTTACTGCTTCCAAATCAGCACCCTGACCTACATATAGCAGAACTGGCTGGAGTTGAGAATTAAGAATTCAACAATTTCTGGAACTTTGCTATTCATATAAGTCCTTAGCTGTACGGCCCTTAGGCAACCGGAGATGAGATTCTATTTATATACAGCCAAGTTCTGGCTTCATACTTCCCCTCACATGGTTAAGTAACCAACCGAGGCAGTCATTGTCTTTCTCCAATGCATGCATAGCCTCCAACAACAGTCATCTAATTCCAAAATTCTTGTATTTACTTAATTTCCCCTGAAACTCTCAACCTCCTATATGTGTCACTTGCCAGCCTATCCCCTTCTACCAGTTTCGTGTCCCAGTTTGCCACCTGTAAACATGTGAACACTGGCACTGGCATGGATGCCTGGGGCAACTAGCGCTTCACCTATGATGGGGGCTAGCGCTCTACCAGTGATGGGGGCCTTATTACAGCCAGCCAGGTGCAGCAACAACATCCTATTTTAGAGTCAGTTCCTAGGACCACATCCAGTACCAGCTGTCACAGGTGGAGTTCACTGGGAAACACACTCTGAGACACCGAGATTTCTATACAGAAGTTATTGGAGAGTAATCGCAGAAATAGCACCTGTAAGTGTTGAAAGACAAAGAATTTGGCAGATAGAAAAGTCGAGCTGAGCCTCAGTGGGTCCATGGAGAGCTCTGGATCTGGGATGGCCCTTCTGAGATATTGCAAACTGAGGCATGGTGGACAAGTCTTGGTACCTCACAGGAACCAGTCATTGGATGTGCACGGTCCCTAGGGAGGGAGCTTAATCTTGGGCAGTGTCTTTCTTTGGCTAAAAGCAACACTGGGAAAGCAGCACAGGTGAGAGGTGCCAGGCAGCGGCTCCCCCAGCGGCTGGAGAATGAGCAGTGCCTCAGTCCTGGAGGGGAATCCGGGCAGCACCCACAGCATCCACAATGCCCTGCAGCACTGGGAGCAGCCCTCACCTTTCTGAGACTGTTTCTTGACCTGCAAAATAAGGGAACACAGTTGGTTCTTGAGCAGTGTGGCGGCTAGGGGGCACTCCCAAAAAACCTAAGAACCTATTGTTGACCAGAAGCCTTCCCACAGAAACAGTCGATTAACACATATTTTGTATGTGGTGGGTATTATATCCTGTATCTTTACAATAAAGTAAGCTAGAGAAAAGGAAATTATAAAGAAGAAAATATACATTTACGCTGGGCACGGTGGCTCACGTCTGTAATCCCAGCACTTTGGGAGGCCAAGGCGGGTGGATCGCCTGAGGTCAGGAGTTCGAGACCAGCCTGGCCAACATGGTGAAACCCCATCTCTACTAAACGTGCAAAAATTAGCCAGGTGTGGTAAGCGCCTGTAATCCCAGCTACTCGTGAGGCTGAGGCAGGAGAATCGCTTGAACCCGGGAAGCAGAAGTTGCAATGAGTTGAGATCATGGCACTGCACTCCAGCCTGGGCAACAGAGACTCTGTCTCAAAAAAAAAAAAAAAAAGAAAAAAATAGAAAATATATATTTACTATTCATTACATGGAAGTAGATCATCATAAAGGTCTTCATCTTCATCATCTTCACATTGAGTAGGCTGAGGAGGAGGAAGAGGAAGACGAGGAGTTGGTCTTGCTGTCTCGAGGTAGTAGAGGTGGAAGAGGTGGAGGAGGTGGAAGGGGAGGCAGGCGAGGCAGGCACACTCGGGGTAACATTTGTTGGAAAAAATCCGCACAGCCTAGGCAACAATGCAAAACCTCTCTATAAACGATAGAAAAATTAGCTGGGTGTGGTGGTGTGCACCTGTAGTCCCAGCTACTGGAGAGGTTGAGGCAGGAGGATCACTTCAACCCGGAAGGTCAAGGCTTCAGTAAGCCATGATCACGCCACTGCACACCAGCGAAGGTGACAAAGGGAGATCCTGTCTCAAAAAAAGAAAAGAGAAAAACTCCGTGTAAAAGTAGACCCACACAGTTCAAACTCATGTTGTTCAAGAGTCGACTGAAATAGCTACCTCAAAGATGTCCAAAAAAGCAAATGCAAAAACAAATGCAAGCAATTTGTGAACTGTTAACAAGGTTATTCTTCTCATCCTAAAGTCTGGAGCAATCTCATCACCATCTTTCTATTATGCCCCACACCCACTTCTCGTCTCAAGAAGTCAGTATTTTACTTTTCTACCAGGATTTAGCTTTACTGTCCACTTTACTGCTTCTCCAAAAAGTTGCAGTGATGATGTTGAGAAGTGACTAATTCATTAGGTATATCTTTATTTTTCACCATAAATTAATTTCTAAAATAGGCTCTATAATTACCAAAACTCTTCTAGTCTATAATTGGGGGTTCTATAAAACATAAAATTACAGGATTTATAGTTCTTTAAAATGGAAAAGTGCTCTCAAAAAATGTTACTAGTTCAAAGGAGATTCATAAATGAATCATGTAATTTTAAGCAATTCTCACTAGATGGAGCTAGTTACAAATAAATACTTTTTTAATATTTTTCTTCTTTATTTTTAATTTTTTATTTTTATTTATTTTTTATTTTTTGAGGAATTAACAGTCTTTATTGGGCTCAGATCAGGAGGCCGTGGGTCTTGAGGACCTCTGTGTATTTGTCAATTTTCTTCTCCACGTTCTTCTCGGCCTGTTTCCGTAGCCTCATGAGCTGTTTCTTCTTCCCGTAGTGGATCTTGGCTTTCTCTTTCCTCTTCTCCTCCAGGGTGGCTGTCCCTGCCTGGTACTTCCAGCCAAACTCGTGAGCCAGGCGCCCCAGATAGGCAAACTTTCTTGTAGGCTTCAGACGCACAACCTTGAGGGCAACAGGAACCACCATCCGCTTTTTCTTGTCGTAGGGCGGTGGGATGCCATCAAACACCTTGAGGCGGTCCAGAGCGGCCTGGCCTCGCTTGGTCTTGTGGGGCAGCATACCTCGCACGGTCCGCCAGAAGATGCGGCTGGGGGCCCGGAAGTGGTAGGAGCCTCGGTAAGAGTTGGTGTTCATCCGCTTGCGGAGGAAAGCGAGGTACTTCAACTTGTTTCTGTAGAAATTGCCAGAAATGTTGATGCCTTCGCAGCGTACGACCACCACCTTCCGGCCCAGCAGTACCTGTTTACCACGATGGCCGCCAGGCGGCCCAGGAGATGGCCTCGACCATCAAGCACCAGGACCTGCACCTCTGCCGTCTTCGCCAGCCGCTTGGGAAAGGCTTTTCTTCTCTTTAATACAGGAATATTTTAATTCCTTGTAAGGAAAATTTCCTGGATAATTCCATGTATTTTAATAATCACAGAGATAGTCTTATTCTTACTCATTCATTACCAAAAATAAAGACTTCAGTAACAATTTATACTCCATAGAGTATACGATCTCATCTATTTTGACATCCAAAAAAAAAAGGCAGAAAGACAAAACGCAAATTCTGAGGCAGAAATTAAGAAAATATAATTCTTATTTTTTATTTAATTTATTGTTTGTTCCGCTGTTTGAATGTTTATCTTCCAGGAGCCTACAGAAGTGAGGGAAAGTATCTGCAGGCTAATTTTAAATAACACGAGACAGAGATTAAACATTAAATATAAAAAAAAAACCTTTTAGCTTACTTATTAAACTAGGAAGAATTTTCCTTAAACACATCACTCAAATTGGTCTGCAATGCATCAATAAATGGAGAACATAGATCTCACCTAGGAAATATTTTATACATTGTGGACACTACAAAAAAGCTCATCAGAATATAAAAATTTTCAAGTCACAATCCCCTAAGCAGACTAAAAACAAGTTAGCGTTTAACCTGAAATCAGAAGTGCAAACTCTGTAAAAATAAAAATATTGCCATTGTTCTCAGCAATCTATGAATAAATCCTACAACTCCTTAAAGTCTTTTCAATAAAATGAACCATGATCTCTTGACAAACTCCTTGCTTAAATGGCAGGTAACTTTTGAAGCTGGACTTCTCAATCTGTCAAGAGAAGCAAGCTGCATTGGCAGCATTGCTCGCTTTTGAAAATCACCTTCTGAACAGAAGGTCCAGCAAAGACCTTCAATGCAACACTCCCTGTATATGTGCAAGTCTGCATGAGACGTCCTCCCGCAGGTGCAACTCCCAGCCAATGAACCAGAAACAGATGAAAGACAAAAGGGGAAAGTCGAGGTCAAATGTTTCAGTTTACCCATGCTATCCCAGATAAAATGCCAAGGGCTTTTGGAATAAAATGGACAATATGCAAAGATGAGGTGACCAGATGTCAATAATGTTGGGAATTTAAAATGCATGTACCACACATGAACACAATTCTTTAAATGCAGCTGCAGGAAGTTCCGTTTGGGGGTCATCCTCTTTGAAACTCCCTTCTGGGCAGTACTGCTTGTCATTTCTATCATCTGATACATCTATACTTCCAAATAATCCTAACTGATACTCAAAGTGATGCCTTGACACCCTCTGAGGTTCTACAGGCTCTTCCAAATCAAAGAGAGGTCACATCATGCATAGTATTATTTGGGGGTTAGCATACGTTTTATAATAATTATGTTAAAATTGGTAATCCCTTTTTGGGTTCAATGATAGCTCTATTAATTATATTGTCTTGTTAACTGAAATATTCCACTCTGTCAATGGGATTAATGGTTGGAGATTATGATACAACCAAAACCAAAGCTGGGCAATGGGCTCTTGGACTGGAATCACCCATTATGAACTATCCATCTGACCAACTCTTTAACTTTCTTCCTAAACGTCAGATCACCAGGGCGTTTCAGTGCAGCCTGCACAATTCAGAGAGTAGGGTCCAGATTAAAGACCTTACATTTTTGTAGAATTCAGAATCATTTTTCATTCAGCAAGCCCTCTATTTGCTCACTCTCTTCTACATGTAATTGTTCAACTTTGGTTGACTGTCGAGTCCTCATGGAAGAATTCCCATTCTGCCACTGAGCCTCTCTGTTAGGGACTTGAAAATGGAAGGTAGTGCAGTTCTTTCTGACCATCTGCCAGGCAAGGAGCCCCGGGCTTCTAGGGGTAAGTTCGTCCCTTTTCCCAAGTCTTTCACTTTGCACTCTTCATTCAGAGTTAAATGGCATAAAACTCGGATTTTCAAAGCCAGTTGATTTAATCTGAGACACATAAGACTAGGATCAAATAAGTGAAGTAAATGATTCAAATGCAATGACTTCTGTTGTTGCATTCTGTTGTTGCATAGAAGAATCTAAAATTCTTCTATGGCCTAATTTTCAGAAACTATTTTAGGACAAAAAAGAACCAAAAAAAAGTTCTACTAAAAAAAATAAAGAGACAGACTAGTAATTTGCTTGGTCAGAGCTTCTTTTTAAAAAAATAAAATAATATTAAGTCAAAGAGGAAAACAAATATAACATCAAACTATTTGCAAAATAATGAAAATTGGCTGGGGGCAGTGGCTTACTTTGGGAGGCTGAGGCAGGTGAATCACCTGAGACAAGAGTTCAAGACCGGCCTAGGCAACATAGTAGGACCTCATCTCTACAAAAAATACAAAAAATTCATGGGACATGGTGGTACACACCTGTAGTCCCAGCTACTAAAGAGGCTGAGGTGGAAAGACCACTTGAGCCTGGGAAGTTGAGGCTGCAGTGAGCAATGAGTATGCCACTGCAGTCCAGCCATGTCTCAAAAACATCACAATAATAATGAAAATGAGAACAATGCATAGAAAACTTAGTTTAGGGGTTGTACAAGCTACAGCGTAACTCATAACCTTAAATGTTTTTCTTCTTAGAAAAAATCTAACTCTTCAACTCAAAAAATTAGAATAGCTAAAACGAATCTAAGAAAAGAGAAAAGGAAAATAAATTTAAAGAAAATAAAAACAGTAAAAATGATAAACCCAATAGCAGATGTTTTGGGGGGGAATACAAATGAAATAAGCATCTTTCTGTCAAATTCATTCTACAATACACACACACACACACACACACACACACACACACACACACACGAAAAAAAAACCATAAGTAAAATAAGAAATCAGCAACAGTCTGGAAATTTTTAATGATAAAATAACAATTATTCGTATATGCAGATAAAACAGAAATCTCAGTAAACTAGATGATTAACATAAAGATATAATGGCCAAAATTGACTCAACAAGTTGAAAACCTAAAACTTATGGTGAAAGAAGAAAGTATTTAAGTTATCAAAGAAATATTTGTTAGACATTTCCCAGGCTCAGATAGTTTTACTGTTTAATTATTTTAAACTTTCCATAGCTAGACAAAAATACACAAAAATATGAAGACTAATTTATGGGCCAAATATTGTTTATGCAGCAGAACTCATCTACATCACATAATTCCCTCTTTCTTCCATTTATTCTTAGAAGTCTGCCTCTAACCTGCCTCTGATAGAACACTTGATTGGATTTTTCATTTCTTTGCCTCTTAGAATATTAAAATGTTTTTTTCTGGCCAGCTCCACAAAACTCTGATTTTGATGAAATTTTGCCTTCTCTCATATTTTTTAGTGACAGGCCACCCAACTCTTAAACATTTGATTGCATTCTGGAAAGCTCTGTGGCTCTGAGAGACCATGAGATCTCCTTCCTTACTTCCTTCCTTCTTTCCTTCCTTCCTTCCTTCCTTCTTTCCTTCCTTCCTTCCTTCTTTCTTTCTCTCTCTCTCCTTTCTTTCTTCTCTTTCTTTCCTTCTTTCTTTCTTTCCTTCCTTCCTTCCTTGCTTCCTTCTTTCTTTCTTTCTTTCTTTCTTTCTTTCTTTCTTTCTTTCTTTCTCTCTCTCTCTCTCTCTCTCTCTCTCTCTCTTTCTTTCTTTCTTTCTTTCTTTCTTTCTTTCTTTCTTTCTTTTTCTTTCCTGACAGAGTCTCATCCTATTGCCCAGGCTGGAGTGCAGTGGCCCAATCACAGCTCACTGCAGTCTCAACCTCCTGGGCTGAAACAATCCTCCCTCCTCAGCCTCCTGAGTAGCTGGGACTACAGGCATGCACCACACCCTGCTAATTTTTTTTGTATTTTTTTTAGAGATGGGGTTTTGCAATGTTGCCCAGGCTGAAAGATCATATTTCTTAAAGTCATTCTACTAACTAGTCCTTCCAGTTATTACAAATTATAAATCTGCAATAATTAAAATGGAGTCATATTGACAAGAATAGCTTTCAGTGAAATAGAATAGAGAGCACAGAAAGTCACAAGATTTTAAAACAACTCAACATATAATAATTACCAATCAACAGGAAAGAATGAAATTGTTCTATTTATTGCATAAATAGCATTGTAGAAATTGGCTTGCTATTTGGTGATAAAATAAATAATAAGTCGGGTATGGTGGTGCACGCTTGTATTCCCAGCTACTCGGTAGCTGAGGCAGGAGGATCGCTTGAGCCTAGGAATTCAAGGCTGTAGTGCACCATGATCACACCTGTGAATAGTCGCTGCAGTCTAGCCTAGACAATATAGTAAGACTCTGTCTCTAAAGATAAATAAATAAATCCCAGCCGAATTAGAGATCCAAATATAAAATAAAACCAAAAACTATATCATAAGCATTTATCTTCTCTTCAAATGAAAGCACGTTCCAAGCTTAAACACAAAAGAAGATACCATAATCCACTGAACTGCATAAAAATTTAAAACACCTACATATAATCATGACACCAAAAAGCAACAACCAATTGGAAAACAATATTTATAACAAACATGACAAATGATTAATGCCTTTTATATATAAACAGCTTATGCAAATCACTAAGAAAAACACTAAGACCCCAATAGAAAGTTGAGCAAATTATATGTAAAGAGGTTTCCCAGAAGAGGAAATATAAAAAGAAACATGAAAAAAAAATTAACCTCAATAGGAAACAAATAAAAGCAAAACTTTTAAATGGCAAAATGCCCTACTTTTTCTATGAAATTATAAAGGTTACAAATATAAATACTCAATGGTAATGAAGGTACAATACTATAAACATTCTCACATACTACTTTTTTTTCTTTCTTTCTTTCTTTTTTTGAGACAGGGTCTTGCTGTGTCACCCAGGCACAATCACAGCTAACTGCAGCCTTGACCTCCCACCTCAGCCTCCCAAGTAGCTAGGACTGTAGATGTGTGCCACCACGCCTGGCTAATTTTTTTATTTTTTGTATAGATGTGGCCTCACTATGTTGCCCAGGCTGGTCTTGAACTCCTGGGCTCTAGCAATCCTCTTCCCTTGGCTTCGCAAAGTGCTGGGATTACAGGCATGACTATAATAGACATACTTCTATAAGAGTTAATTAGTATAACATTTCTGGAAAGCCTTTTAACACTATCAAGCATGTTTAAATACTCTACCTTTTAACCCAGTTTATCTATGTATTACTAATATATTGCTACATAATAAAGAACCCTAATATTTAGCAATTTAAATATTTTAAAGAACCATAACATTTATTATCTCACATAGTTTCTACTAGACAGGAATCTGGGAGCATCTTGGCCTAGACGGTTCTGGCTCAGGGTTTTTCATGAGGTTTCATTCCACCTGGTGGCCAGGGCTTCGGCGGTCTGAAGGCTTAGCCAGGGCTGGAAGATCTACTCCCAAGGCAGCTCATTCACATAGTAGTTGGCGGAGGCCTCAGGTCCTCACCACATGGACCTCTCCAGAGGAATGCTGAAGTCTTCTGCCAGAACAAGTGAACCAGCACAGAGAGATCAAGGAGAAAGCCACAATGGCTGGCCGCAGAAATCACACTTCATCATTTTTGCAATATCATACTGGTATTACAAAAAAGCTCCGTTCAGTGGGAAGTGGGAATAGGGGTGGGCTCAGGTGGTGGTACTTACACAACAGCAGTAATAACAGAAAAGGGGACCATATTGTTAGAGGCTGGTCAACAGAATCTCTTTGTAGGAATCTAATTTAACCAAATAATCTGAAATGCAGATAAAACTTTATGCATTAAGATATTCATTATAATAATATTTGTAATAGTAATAATTTGTAAACAATACTCAGTAATGGAGCTGGTTAAGTAAATCATGGCACATCTCTCCAATATTCAATTGTATTCTATATTGCCTCTTATACAATCACATCAAAAATACATGTCATTTTCATATTTCCATATATACTTATATGTGTAGAAAAAGGATGAGAAGAAAATGGACTAAATATTAATGACTACTACCTCTGGGTGATGGAATAATTACTTATTATTTACTTTTCATGCTTTTCTCCATTTTTAAACTTTTCTAAAATAGGTGTATATTACATAGATAATTAGAAATAATTCTTTCAAGGAATTATAAATACCGTTGAGACATTGTGCCTATAGTCTAATGGTAAGAAGAAAGAAAACAACAGAAAAACTCACTGATCTTGGGAGAGTGTTACCAAAATTATTTCATTTTTCAGTCCAACAAATTGCAAAGTCATTGTGAAGAAGGTGTAACCTATTAATCTGTATGTATTATGTACACGAGTTAAAAAACAGAATGACAGTTGGGCGCGGTGGCTCATGCCTGTAATCCCAGCGCTTTGGGAGGCCAAGGCAGGTGGGTCACTCGAAGTTGGGAGTTCGAGACCAGCCTGGCCAACATGGCAAAACCCCGTTTCTACCAAAAACCACAAAAATTAGGTGGGTATATTGGCACATGCCTATAGGCCCAGCTATTCAAGAAGCCGAGCGTGAGAATCACTTGAACCCAAGAGGCAGAGGTTGCAGTGAGCCGAGATTGACCCACTGCACTGCTGCCTGGGCGACAGAACAAGACTCTGTCTCAGAAAAAAAAAAAACAGAATGACAACAGATATTTTCAGAGTATCTTGTAGTTTACAAAGCACATTCACATAGTTATTCGCTTGATAAATCAGAGTACTTCTGCAATTAACACTCTTGCCAGCTATTTATGTCACTCAAGATGTTTGAAAAATGCCTTTTGTGAATTGTAACTGAATGGAGCCAAATTCTTCTGGGGCATATGGCTGTACAACATTCACTGGGAAAGGCAACTAATTGCATGTGTGTACACCTCAGGGAAGAATTTGTTTAAGATAACTGAAATATGTTTGAGTTGAATCTTTTCCTACTCCAGCTAATGGTCATCACTTTAACTGTGTTCTTTCCAAAGCTTTATTAAACACGCTATGAAAATACTGAGCTTGAGCCTGCTGATGGGAAGCAAATAATCTCCCCCTTCTTTAAAGGCGCATTCATTCTTTCAGGTCAGTAGCATCACATTGCAAGATCCTGAAAATCAGTGCGCAGTTGAGTCAGAAAGCTTATAATTGAATTTGCTTAGCTAAGTATCTTAGCAACTCAGTTCACGTCAGCGGAACTTTGTTGAAGGGTATATTTTCATCATTTCTTGCCAGATTTTTAAAGCATGACATGTTGTGTTACTAAAACTAAGTAATTCTTCCAGGGGGAGGAAGCAGTAGTGTCTATTATATACCTTCCACTTTACTTATTTAAGAAAACATAAAAAGCCATTACCGGGAGAATAGAATGCATTGTTCTGAATCTAAATGACAAAGCAATCTTTGTTTGTTTGTTTGTTTGTTTGTTTTGAGACAGAGTTTTGCTCTTGTTGCCCAGGCTGGAGTGCAATGGCACGATCTGGGCTCACTGCAACCTCAGCTTCCTGGGTTCAAGCGATTCGCCGACCTCAGTACCTGGGATTACAGGCAGCTGCCACCACGCCCCGCTAATTTTTGTATTTTTAGTAGAGACGGGGTTTCACCATGTTGGCCAGGCTGGTCTTGAACTCCTGACGTCAGGTAATCCGCCCACCTTGGCCTCCCAAAGTGCTGGATTTATAGGCATGAGCCACTGCGCCCAGCCCAAAGCAATCTTTTAGAAGTTGTATAATCAAGAAAAAGAAGAAAATCGGGGGTTTTTTTTTAGGGATTCGGGGTATGCTTATGAGCACAGGAATAAAGGAAAAAGGCAGTAATCTAAGTTGCATATATAATGCCTATAAAACAAAAGGCACCGTTTGACAAGGTATCTGGCTGATATAATGGGAAAACCAAGAATTCAGGCTTCAAAGGAGGTTTTTTAATGCTTAAATGATGTGGTTTGTCTGATTTAATTATATAATCAGCAGCTTTCCCCCTTTATGTTAAAAAGTGACCAGGTACCACAGTATGGCCTAGAAAGCACTATCCATATACATCAGAATATGCCCGGCGGGGTTCCATTGGTGTGACCCTCTGACCAGCTGCCAACCTGCTGTCATGTGCTTCATATTTCTTTCAGACCATTGCGGTAGATGGCAAAGAATAAATGGCCACAAATTATTTGTAGCAATTTCCACCAGGATATGAACTCTACTTCCCCACCCCTTGAACCCAGACTGGCCTTGTGACTTGCTTTGGATAATGGGACATTAGCAAACGAGATGCAAGCAGAGGCCTGAAAAACATTTATGCAATGGGGCTTGTCCTCTCTTGCCCCTTTTGGAAATCAGCTGCCACGTGGGGCAGAGATTTTTCTTCCACTTCAATAACCCTTGACTTCAACCTTCCAGGTAAAACTATTGGTTTAATTTAAGCTTCTTTTTTTTTTTTTTTTTTTTTTTTTTTTTAAGAAACAGAGTCTTGCTCTGTCACCCAGTTCAGTGGTGCAATCCTGGCTCACTGCAGCCAGAACTCCTGGTCTCAAGCAATCCTCCCGCCCCCACCTATCCCATGTTGGGATTACAGGTGTGAGCCACTGCACCTGGCCAAATGTTGTTTTTGATAGCTATTTGGCAGATATTTATATTTACTTGACAAAGAACTAAGCAAGGAGATTGATGAAAGTCATGAAAATGAATACATTTCTGTCTATGTCTTGCAGGAAAATAAAGTCAAAAAGAAGGCATAACCTTATATATAATAGGGTCCTAACTTATAAATAGGTTATATTGTAACAGTTATCTGTAAGTCAGTTGTCTGGATCTTAGAACATGTATCCACACATCTATAACAGTATCTGGCACATAGCTGGTGCTCAAAAAATAGTTCTTGAATAAATGAATGAACAAATGGAAAGTGCAAATGGCTGTTATATTCCCTGACAACGAGAAGAAACTGAATATGCTTTGTGATGGTTAGTTTTATATGTCAGATTGGCGAAGTCATAGTACCCAGTTTATTCAATTAAACACAAAGCTAGGTGAAGGTATTCCATAGATATGGTTAACAGCTACACTTAATTGACTTTAAATAAAAGAGATAATCTTTCATAACTTAGGTGGGCTTCATCCAACCAGGTTTAAATTTTTTCTCAAAGTAAAAAATATTTTTAAAGGAGGGTAAATGGCTGGGCACAGTGGCTCACACCTGTAATCCTAGCACTTTGGGAGGCCAAGGCAGGAGGCTTGCTTGTGTCCGGGTGTTCAAGACCAGCCCAGGCAACATAATGAGACCCTGTCTCTATAAAAAATTAAAATATCAGCCAGGTGTGGTAGCATGTGCCTGTGGTCCCAGCTACTTGAGAGGCTGAGGCAGGAGGATCATTTGAGCCTTGGAGTTTAAGGGTGAAACAAGCCAGAATCGCACCATTGCACACCAGCCTGGGTGACACAGCAAGATCTTGTCTCTAAAAAGGTTTTTTAAAAGAAGGAGGGTAAATGGAGTGAAAGTGTTTAAAGCCCTCACATTGTCCAGAAACTGGTGACAATACTTACATTACAATTGTAATTAAGCAAGGATTTGTATTATAATCTCTGGGGTAACCATTAAAAGAGTAGTAAAACAATGAATAACAAGCTACTGGCAGGGACATGGGGGATAGAATAATTTTAAAAACTACTCCAAATAAAGGCAAGAAAAGTGAGGAAAAGTGAGCATACAAAACAGATGGGATAAAATAGAAACAAATAGTAAGATGGCAGACAAACCCAAATATGTCTGTTTACACTCAATGTAAACAGATTAATCAAATGAGAATAGTTGTCAGACTGGAATTTTAAATGATTCTATTTTGATACCGATAGTAAGACATTATTTGCCTTCTTCACTCTTGACAAGTGCACTCATGGTGGGGAAAGTAATGGTGGGATAAACTGCTGGCACCTTAGCCCAAGTCAAGGTGGTAGCACCAGATGTATTAATAACCATTTTACTTGTCAACACCAGAGACTCACACACACAAAAAAAGTCAATTTCACTTAAGACGGTCCTTGATGGGCCGGGCGCAGTAGCTCACGCCTGTAATCCCAGCACTTTAGGAGGCTGAGGCGGGCAGACGACTTGAGGCCAGGAGTACGAGACCAGTTTGGCCAACATAGTGAAACCCCACCTCTACTAAAGATACAAAAATTAGCCGGGTATAGTGGCACACTCCTGTGATCCCAGCTACTAGGGAGACTGAGGCAGGAGAATTGTTTGAACCCAGGAGGCGAAGGTTGCAGTGAGCTGAGATCGAATCACTGCACTCCAGCCTGGGCGACCGAGAAAGACTGTGTCTCAAAAAAAAAAAAAAAAAGTCCTTGATGAAGCATTAAACATTAATTTTATCAATCTCAAGTACAGTTATTTTTAGTACATAAAGAATTTCAGCAGTCTTCTCCTACTGCCCTGTCTTCATATACAAATTGCCTCTTGAGAATTCTAATAAATGGTCAATTCATTTTAGCCTGAATGGTACAAGGAACAGGGAAGGTATTCTTACAGTAGAGTTTAACGTGGGGTCACCTACCCCTACTGTCCTCTTAGTACCCTGATCAGCCTCTCGGTACCCCCAGAGAACAGATGCTTACTTCCATGCAAGGAAAATGGTGTCACCTTTGACCATGTTAGTTGTTAAAGGCAATTTTTCAACAACATTCTAATATCTTAGAAAATATTTGGCTAACAAAGCGGGATATTTCATAAAAGTTATAAATCAGATAATACTAAAGAGTTAGGAGTTCTGGCTGGGCACAGTTGCTCAGGCCTGTAATCCCAGCACATTGGGAGGTCGGGGTGGGAGGTCGAGAGTTCGAGACGAGCCTGACCAACATGGAGAAACCCCGTCTCTACTAAAAATACAAAATTAGCTGGGCATGGCGGTGAATGCCTGTAATCTCAGCCACTCAGGAGGCTGAGGCGGGAGAATCGCTTGAACTCGGGAGGCGGAGGTTGCAGTGAGTTGAGATCACACCATTGCACTACAGCCTGGGCAACAAGAGCAAAACTCCATCTCAAAAAAAAAAAAAAAAAAAAAAAAACAAAGAGTCAGGAGCTCTCCATGTTTAAGATAATCAAATCCACATTTTATGGTTGTATACATTTTATTTAACCACACAATGAGCACACAAAAATTAATAAACTACTATGGCTCACTCCACAATTTACACATTTACACATATACATATATTTTAACACACTCCCTAAATTTATTTTCAGAAAGTGTAATGTGTACCTCACCAATGCTAAGAATGGTGAAAAATGCAATTAGATTTACAACAACTGCCCTTGAGAAGCTTAGAGAGAGTGTTGTGCCTTTCCCGTACACTAAGAACTTTTGCTCTGTGACTAAGAAGGAAACTGAATAAGAATATGCCTCATCCTCTTTGCTTTTCTAGCCAAGATGCCTGGTGGCAAGGAAGAACCAGCATGTTATAGAAAAAGAGGAGCCGGGAGTGGTGGCTCACTCCTGTAATCCAAAGCACTTTGGTAGGCCGAGGCAGTGGGCCCCATGTCTACTAAAAATACAAAAATTATCTAGGCGGGGTGGCAGGCACCTACTCGGGAGGCTGAGGCAGGAGAATCACCTGAACCCAAGAGGTGGAGGTTGCAGTGAGCCAGGATCACCCTAGTGCACTCCAGCCTGGATGACAGAGCAAGAATCCGTCTCAAGAAAAAAAAAAAAATAGAGCCGAGAATAAAAGGGTTGACCCTCTGTTTAGACTGACATGATGTGAAAATGCCTGCCATGTTTAATATTAGTCACAAAGACTCAAAGAGCCAAAATATTATCCGATGGTCTCTAAGGTCATATTTTTGAAGAGAATAATTTCTGACGAAGTTGCATTTCTTAAATTCCAACTAGTTACCATTACCAGGGATGTTCAGGGTAAAAACCTGCTGACCAGCTTCTCTGGTAGATCTTATGCAAACAAAGTGTGTTCCACCATCAAAAAGAGACGGATTCAAATGCATACATTGATATCAAACAAGCAGTTTGCATTGTTTATATTGTGTCGGATTTGCCAAAAAGCACAAGGTTTCTAAAGCCTCTGAAGGCTGGTGTCATCCATCGGTATCCAGTAGGTGCTCCCAATTTGGAAAATGATGGGAATCATGTCACAGGAGGTATTTTTTAAATGACTTCTATAACTAGTCAATAAACTTGTCAATGACATAGAAAAATCTATTCAATCTACTTAACATGTTAGAAAAGTAAAAAGGCTGGGAAAGCCCAAGTTTGAAACCTTCTGAGGAATAAAAAGCATGCCTACTCTAGCAGAAGGAGATGGATTTAAGCTACCAACCCAAGAATTTTAAAAATGGAACTTTTAGGCTGGGCGCGGTGGCTCACGCCTGTAATCCCAGCACTTTGGGAGGCCAAAGTGGAATGATCACTTGAGCTCAGGAGTTTGAGACCAGCCTGGGCAACATAGCAAGACCTCATCTCTAGTAAAACTAAAAAAAAAAAAAATTAGCCAGGCGTGGTGGTGCGGGCCTGTAGTCCCAGCTACTTGGAGGGCTGAGGCGAGAGGATGGCTTGAGCCTGGGAGATCGAGGCTGCAGTGAGCCCTGATTGTGCCACTGCACTCCAGCCAGGGTGACAGAGCCAGACCTTGTCTCAAAAAAATAAATACTGACAAAGAAGAATTCTTATGGAGGGGTGTGTGTGTGTGAATGAGTGGTTAAGAGGATACGACATATAACACTGTTTAAATACTAAATAAAATTGTCCTCACAGAATGTACTATCTTCACATACACTTTCTCTTCTCTTCGTTTTCTTGTTTCTAATTTCTTTGCCAAATGCTAGCCAATATTTGTTTAAATTTTTCCTTCATAGATATACATCAACAATAAAACTTTTATTTAAAATTTTTAATCAGTATATACACAGTCTTACATTTATATGCCAGTAGAAAAGGATGGTGGAAGCCAAATCAGGAATAAATGAGAAAATAGCAGTGACCAAAAACAAAACCTCATTTTATAATAAAAAGCCGATCAGTCACATAATGCCAGTGATAGCAGTCACTGAAGCCTTACTGTGTGCCAGGCACCGTCCAGCATTTTCATGTGCTGTCACACTTGTGGCTTATGACACACCTAAGTGTGTCAGTTGGGTCCTCTGAAAGCAGATGGAGCTAGGAGTACAAGAGGTTAACCGTGGGACAGCACTGGTGAAAGATAAAAGTCAGAAAAAGCAAGGCTGGGCAGGGAAATTCTTCAGACCGTGCTGCAGATCTGACACCTATTAAAGGAAAGCGGGGAAGTGGGTTTGGGCAGGGAGAGTCTCAGACCGCGCTGCAGACCTGACAAAGCCTGGGCCAATCTGATCAGCAACTCTGGACAAGAGCTGGCCAGTAGAGGAGGCTCATCTTAGGCTGCAGTGCCCAAGCCCGGAAGCCACTGAGCTCAGTCACTAGCTGGGGGCTACCTTAGGAGATCAAGGTCTCACCTCCGAAGGTGAGACCTCGTTCCAAAGGTGCTAATGGCTGAAGGCATCTGCTGACTGCGCTCCTTAACGGCTGAACAGCGAGCCCTTTCTTGAAGGGAAATCTGAGTGCCGCTCCTCCATGGCTACCTCAGTAAGGGAGGCTTTATTATGATTCCCATTTTTCGGAAAGAAAAAGGGGGCACAAAAGTTATGTAAATTTCCCAAAGTCACACAGCTAGTAAAAAGCTAATAAATGTCTCCTATTTGCCTTGCAGCTGATAGTAAAAGTAACTTTTTTTTTCTTTTCTTTTTTTTTAAGATGGAGTTTCACTCTTATTTCCCAGGCTGGAGAGCAGTGGCACGATCTCAGCTCGCTGCAACCTCCGCCTCCTGGGTTCAAGTGATTCTCCTGCCTCAACCTCCCGAGTAGCTGGGATTACAGGCGCCCACCACCACGCCCAGTTAATTTTTGTATATTTAGTAGAGACGGAGTTTCACCCTGTTGGCCAGGCTGGTCTCAAACTCCTGATCTCAGGTGATTCGCCCACCTCGGCCTCCCAAAGTGTTGGGATTACAGGCGTAAGCCACCGCGCCCAGCCTCCCTAACACATTAGTGTATGGACTTCCACTCACTCCTCTCTAGTGTATTTTGGTTTTTTTCAAAAAATAGGATAATTCCTTAAATATTACCTTAGAACTGGTTTTTCTTCACTTGATATCATAAACATCTTTTCACATCAATAAGTTCATTTCTACAAATGTGTACATACAACTCTAGCACAATTTATTCAAGTAATACGCTACTGAACCCTTCAGTTTTTTCTCTTCCTTTTTTTCTATATGAGAAACAATTTAGTGAACATCCTTGTAGCTAAATCTTTGTTTGCAATATTCTGAGATAAAATGCATAAAACCCAAAATTTAACATTTTAACCACGTTCAAGTGTACAGTTCAGTGTTTTGTGTATACTCATAAGGTTGTACAAACATCACCACTAATTCCAGAACGTTGCCATCTCCCCATAAAGAAACTCCATACCTATTAGCAGTCGTTCCCAATTCCTCCCTACCCCCATTGCCTGGCAACCACTAATCTAGTTTCCGTCTCTATGGATTTGCCTATTCCGGACATTTCATATAAATGGGATCATATCACATTTGTTCTTTTGTGTCTGGCTTGTTTCACTTAGTATATAGTATTTCCAAGATGCATCCATGTTGTAGCATATATCAGTGCTTCATTCCTTTTTGGCTGAACTATTTTTTATGCCTGAATTAGTATTCCACTCTTTGGATGTACTACCACATTTTGTTTATCTATTCATCAGTTGATGGACATTGGGTTGTTTCTACCTTTTGGCTGTTGTGAATAGTGATGCTGTGAACATTTTTGGACGAGTTTTGATGTGGGCATATGTCTTCAGTTCTCTTGGGTATACAGCTAGAAGTGGAATTGCAGGTTCAATCTACGTTTAACATTTTGAGGAACCACCAAACTTTTCCACAGCAGCTGTGCCATTTTCCATTCCTACCAGCAATGCATTAGGGTTCTAATTTCCATCTGTGCCAATACTTATTTTCCTTTTCCTTATTATTATTGCCATTCAATTAGGTGTGGTTCTGATTTGCATTTCTTCAATAACTAATGAAGGTGAGCATCTTTTCATGTGCTTATTGGCCATTTATATATCTTCATTGAAGAAATGGCTATTTAAATCCTCTGCCCAACTTTTTTCTTTTCTTTTCTTTTTTTTGAGATGGAGTCTCGCTCTGTTGCCCAGGCTAGAGTGCAATGGTGCAATCTCAGCTCACTACAACCTCTGCCTCCTAGGTTCAAGCATTCTCCTGCCTCAGCCTCCCAAGTAGCTGGGATTATAGGCATGCACAACCATGCTCGGCTAATTTTTGTATTTTTAGTAGAGATGGGGTTTCACCATGTTGGTCAGGATGGTCTCGAACTCCTGACCTCAAGTGATCTGCCTGCCTCAGCCTCCCAAAGTGCTGGATTACAGGCATGAGCCACCTTGCCTGGCCTTTTTTTCTTTTTTTTGAGATGGAGCCTCACTCTGTCACCCAGGCTGTAGTGCAGTGGTGCAATCTTGGCTCCCTGCAACCTCTCTCTCCCAGATTCAAGGGATTCTCCTGACTCAGCCTCTTGAGAAGCTGGGATTACAGGCATGCACAACCACATCCAGCTAATTTTTTTTGTATTTTTTTTAGTAGGTACGGGGTTTCACCATGTTGACCAGACTAGTCTGAACTCCTGACCTCAAATGATCTGCCCGCTCAGCCTCCCAAAGTACAGGGATTACAGGCATGAGCCACCATGCTCAGCCCTTTGCCCAATTTTTAATTGGATTGTTTGTCTTTTCATTGTTGACATATGAAAGTTATTTATATATTCTGGATAGTATGCCCTTATCACAGAAACAATTTACAAATATTTTCTCCCATCCTATAAGTTGTGTTTTCACTTTTTCTTTTTTTCTTTTTTTTTTTTTTTTTACCTTTTCTTAAATAGAGTTGGGGTCTTACTATGTTACCTAGGCTAGTCTCAAACTCTCAAACTCCTGGACTCCAGCAATCCTCCTACCTTGGCCTCCCAAAATGTTGGGATTTCAGCTGTGAGCCACCAGGCCCGGCCCTTCACTTTCTTGATAGTGTCCTTTATACACAAAAGTTTTTAATTTTGATGAAGCCCAATTTATCTTTTTTTCTTTTGTTATTTGTACTTTTGGTGTCATATTTAAGAAACTGTTACCTAATCCAAGGTCATAAATATTTATACCTATGTTCCCTTCAAGAGTTTTATGAGCTCTTACATTTAGGTCTTTGATCCATTTTGAGTAAATTTTTTTTATATCATGTGATACTTCAAGTATCTACTTTGGATAGATTCCTAAAAAGTGGGCATATAATGCTTCAGGAGTGGTTTTGATTTGGGTTTTTTTTTTTTTAAGAGACAAAGTCTCAAGTCTTGCTGCATCTCCAAGGCTGGAGTGCAGTGGCACGATCATAGTTCACTGCAGCCTAGAAATCCTGAACTCAAGCAATCCTCCCACCTCAACCTCCCAAGTAGCTAGAACTACAGGTGCATGCCACTATGTTCAACTACGTTTTTTTATTTTTTGTAGAGACAGGGTCTTGCTATGTTGTCCAGGCTGGTCTCAAACTCCTGGCCTCAAGAAATCCTCCCACTTTAGCCTCCCAAAGTGCTGGGATTACAGGTGTGAGCCACCACACCAGGCCCAGTTTTAAACACAGAAGCTGAATTTCTAATTCCAGTCACAGTTCCATCATCAATGAGGACAAAAGAAGTAAGAGTGCATGTATTTAACAAAACATTATATTTTTCTTTGTAAGCAAATGACTAAAATTAACAAGAAATTACTGGATAACTGCCTCACTCATTTGCCATCACTTTTTCCAACTGCTGCTCCTACTGTCTTAATTACTTTTGTCTGGTGCTTTGCAGAACTGTCACTGCGAGGATTCATTTTGGACCTTAACTGTCAGATCACTTTAGCCAGGTTTCATCTCCTGCTAAAGATTCCACATGAAGAGATGGCATAAAGGAGCTGGTGGGTACAAGGCTCTTCACAGACATGCAAACCTGGAGAAACCATCTGTGGCCAGCATTCCTTGTTCATCTAAGAAAATACATGTTCCTTTATAATCTAGTTTTCCAAACATGGATCACCTCCTCTTCCCCTAAATTTTCTTTCCTTGTAGCTACACAAATGAAACCACTCAAGTTCCCATCTCTTCTCCCTGCCAGTGTTGCATCGGGCTGATAATGCTGGACGGGAGAAAACAAACCTCTTTGACTCTTCCGCCATCTACTGACATGGAAAACTGCCTATGCGGCAGTGAAACATAAAGAACTACCGGAAAAGAGGAGGACCTAGATGCTGAGCCCTGATATGGAAGACAAAAGACCAAGGTTGTTACTGAACTGGGGGATGGGGATGGAGAGCTGGATTTACAAGTGATGTCTTTTTAAAAAAAAAAAATATCTTAGGCTGGGTGCAGTAGCTCACACCTGTAATCCCAGCACTTTGGGAGGCTGAGGTGGGCAGATCACTTGAGGTCTTCTAGTACTTGGCAACATCTATTACTGCACTGCTAAGTTATGGAATCACATTTGTTTTCCCTGAAATAAGTTTTCTTGGCTTCTCCATCCACTGATAATCTCTCCCACAATATTGTGACTTGATTCTGTTCCAGGTGAACCTTTTCCTAGTATTTCTTGTATTCTTTATTATCTGTCATGTTAGGGCAGCTGTGGAGCTTCATTTTTACAACTGCTGAATCTAAATTTAACTGCTGATTTTCTACCATCCATTTTCAACCTTCTTTAAAAAGCCTGGTGAGTAACTTTATCTGTCATGGCCCATTTCAATGCCCTCAATAGTAAAACCGGCGAATGTGGAGACCCATCCTTAATGAAGAGACCAGTTTGGTCATTCTTACTATTTTCCATGGATTTTCAACATGATTAAGAAAAAATAATTTGAGGCTGAGAATTGTAGTTACCCAACTGAATGGAAGGCAAAGGAAGAAACTAGACGCTCCCAGGTAACTGCCCAGTTTTTGTATTTGTTTTTCCTTTCCACCAATGACAAGGTATGCTCAATAACTTTACTCCCGAAGGAGGATATCCCATTCTGAAAAACACACCACTGTATGCGATAAAGGCAGGGGGAGGAAACATTACACTGTGGGAGAGGGAACAAACGTTTGATCAGCGTGTAACAGAAAACAGTTCTGGCAACTATTATTTCTTCTTCTCCCTCAAATCCAGGAAAGGTCCATAGGCCATTTTCTGTAATATTTCACCAACCAAAATGATCTCTTGGACTTGAAAATAAACGCCCCCATTTCCAACCCTCCATCACTCTAAAATTATTAGTGATCTTCAGGTACTTGAAAAAGTAAACTTCTGGCCAGGCGCAGTGGCTCATGCCTGTGATCCCAACATTTTGGAAGGCCGAGGCAGGCGGATCACTTGAGGTCAGGAGTTTGAGACCACCCTTGCCAACATGGTAGAACGCCATCTCTACTAAAAGTACAAAAATTAGCCAAGTGTGGTGGTGCACACCTGTAGTGCCAGCTGCTTGGGAGGCTGAGGCAGGAGAATCGCTTGAACCCGGGAGGCGGAGGTTGTAGTGAGCTGAGATCGTACCACTGCACTGTGACAGAGCAGGCTCCATCTCAAAAAAAAAAAGTAAACTAAACTTCTTATTGAAATGTAATGCACAGAGAAGTATGCAGCTCTCTCCAAACCTTTTTTATCTCTTTCCAATTATTTTTTTAAAAAAGTATATGTGCCCCAGCATGCTTCCTTGTTATGAACTGTGCACAGGTAGGACTCTGCTAATATTATGTAAATTATAAAACATATACAAACAGGACAGGAGAGAAAATGAGGAAAAATCAACAGAAATAGGAGTTCTAATTTTTACTTTGCACACTTCAATGGGCCAGTCTTACATATAACTTTAGAAATCACAGCTTTAAAGACAGTGGCAACACGCTGCATTCACAACCAGGTTGACTGGAGGCTTTAGGAAAGGTTTGGTAGCTTCTGGCCTCAATGGTATGACATCAACTCAATCTCCAAAAATACACTGGACAGAAATCCAGCTGTCCTAAAAGTTTAGAAATGTGGCCACCATGTCTGTGATATCCAAGGGTTGCAAATCACATTGCATGTCTTTATCCGCAACGGCAGTCTTCTAGGAAAATGGCATTTGGGGAAGGAAGAAGGTGGATACAAATATACCTTCTTCCTCCTTTGTGATAATATAAAATTAATTACAGAAAAAGTAAGGGTTGGCTCTTAGCTGTTATTAAAGATTAAAATTATCTTGGTCAAAGGGAAATAGAAATTAGGTTCTCCAAACTTTTAAAACGTGTTTCTAAGGTTTACAGTTGAGGTGAAATAATTGCTTAGCTGACTGTGGATGAAGCAATGAAATAACTCCAGTTTTAACTCACTGGGTAACCATTAGGTAAGCTTCTGCATCTATAAAAACTGTGTTAAACTGGATGTGCCTACAACACTGAGTATGACGTGTAACTAGCACCACCTAGTGGACATTCATATGGCAATACGCGATAAAGGAAGCTGCATGGCCAGGATGGAAAAGTTGCTGGTCACAGTAGCAGCAAAGGGCTTAGCTAGTTCTTCCTGGCAGCCTCCTCAATAATTCATAGTTTACTGGGAATCATATATCAAATAGTTTTAGCTCTTCAGAAGAAAATGAAATTTATAATTAACTGCATTGCCCGGGTGCAGTGGCTCACACCTGTAATCCCAGCACTTTGGGAGGCCGAGGCAGGTGGATCACAAGGTCAGGAGTTCGAGACCACCCTGACCAACATGGTGCAACCCCGTCAAATACAAAAATTAGCTGGGCATGGTGGCACACGCCTGTAATCCCAGCTACTCAGGAGACCGACGCAGGAGAATGGCTTGAACCTGGGAGGTGGAGGTTGCAGTGAGCCGAGATCGTGCCATTGCACTCCAGCCTGGGTGAGAGACTCTGTCTCAAAAAAAAAATTAACTGCATTATGACAGACTTTTTTCCTTTTAGCAATTGAAACTGGCATCCCAAGGATGCTCTAGATACAGTCATAAAGATAATGCTTACTGCATCTCTCATCACTGGCTTACTTGGAAAAGAACAAAAAAAAAAAAGTTATAAAGAAAATCTGCCTGGACCAGGGGTGATAGCTCACATCTGTAATCTCCGCACTTTGGGAGGCCAAGACAGGAGGAAGGCCTGAGGCCAGGAGTTTGAGGCCAGCCTGGCCAATATAGCGAGACCCCAGCTCTATTAGAAAGAAGAAGAAGAAGAAGAAAATCTGCCTGATAAAGAGCTAAAGAAGCAGCCTCAAGCTGCTAGAGCCACAAGCGCCCCTGGAACTGTGCACTTAAATAGCATTGTCTTTAGCACTAGCATAACTGGGCAAAAGGAGCACCATCTCTGTAACCTATAACTTGAATGGTGCTTGCCCCCTTGGAGTTGTTCAAGGAGTCTAGACTGGCCAAAGCAGGCAACCGGCCTGGCTTCAATAACTATGCTTGGAACTTTGGGCCTTGAGGCTAAGAGGTGTGTTGTACTATTTCAGCATGTTTTATGAATTGGTTCCACAGAGCTGTTACAGCACAGCCAAATTTTACTCTTCAAAAACCATCCTAGGTATTTTATTCTCTTTGAAGCAATTGTGAATGGGAGTTCACTCATGATTTGGCTCTCTGTTTGTCTGTTATTGGTGTATAAGAATGCTTGTGATTTTTGTACATTGATTTTGTATCCTGAGACTTTGCTGAAGTTGCTTATCAGCTTGAGGAGATTTTGGGCTGAGACAATGGGGTTTTCTAGGTATACAATCATGTCATCTGCCAACAGGGACAATTTGACTTCCTCTTTTCCTAATTGAATACCCTTTATTTCCTTCTCCTGCCTGATTGCCCTGGCCAGAACTTCCAGCACTATGTTGAATAGGAGTGGTGAGAGAGGGCATCCCTGTTTTGCGCCCGTTTTCAAAGGGAATGCTTCCAGTTTTTGTGCATTCAGTATGATATTGGCTGTGGGTTTGTCATAGATAGCTCTTATTATTTTGAGATACGTCCCATCAATACCTAATTTATTGAGAATTTTTAGCATGAAGGGTTGCTGAATTTTGTCAAAGGCCTTTTCTGCATCTATTGAGATAATCATGTGATTTTTGTCTTTGGTTCTGTTTATATGCTGGATTACATTTGAAGTCAGTGTGGCGATTCCTCAGGGATCTAGAACTAGAAATACCATTTGACCCAGCCATCCCATTACTGGGTATATACCCAAAGGATTATAAATCATGCTGCTATAAAGACACATGCACATGTATGTTTATTGCGGCACTATTCACAGTAGCAAAGACTTGAAACCAACCTAAATGTCCAACAACGATAGACTGCATTCAGAAAATGTGGCACATATACACCATGGAATACTACGCAGCCATAAAAACTGATGAGTTCATGTTCTTTGTAGGGACATGGATGAAACTGGAAACCATCATTCTCAGCAAACTATCGCAAGGACAAAAAACCAAACACCGCATGTTCTCACTCATAGGTGGGAATTGAACGATGAGAAAACATGGACACAGGAAGGGGAACATCACACACTGGGGACTGTTGTGGGGTGGGGGGAATGGGGAGGGATAGCATTAGGAGATATATCTAATGCTAAATGACGAGTTAATGGGTGCAGCACACCAACATGGCACATGTATACATATGCAACAAACTTGCACGTTGTGCACACGTACCCTAAAACTTAAAGTATAATAATAATAAAATTTTTAAAAAATCATCCTTGGGTAGGCCTACCCGAAACAAATTAACACAGGAACAGAAAACCAAATACCACATATACTCATTCATAAGTGGAAGCTAAACCATGGGTACTCATGGACATAAAAAGATGGCAACAACAGACAGTGGGGACTACTGGAAGGGGGAAGGTGACAAGGGTTGAAAAACTGTTAGGTACTGTGCTTACTATCTGAGTGACATTCACACCCCAAACCTCAGCATCACGCAATAGAGCCCAGTAACAAACCTGCACATGTACTCCCTGAATCTAATATAATCATTCCTTCAAAAAATCATCCTGAGAGCCTATCTTGGCCACCCTCTGGATTTCAACATACTTTTTGTGCAGCTTAATTATATCTGGCATAGCTTCATGCCCTCTCTACAATTTCCCAATCCTGGGATTCATGTGCTGCCAAAGCATAATAATCTTGTAGTGAATACATATTCTCCTTTAAGCACTGAAACCTAAGAAAGCTTTGAGCTTTTTTATGGGGGCAGAGGGGTGGTTGTTGATGTGAACTGTTTAAGACCTTTCCTGTGTTCATCATAACTACAGATCAAAAAAGTTTTCATTCTTAGCATATCCAATTAGACTTCATTCCTAAAGATTAAAGAACAAATGAGGGAACAAGTTTATCATTAGGTGCTTATCACTGTGCACCTATTATAGGCCAGGCCCTCTATGATCCTCATTTTGCTCTTACTACAGCTGTGTTTGGTATTATTTCCTCCACTTACAAAGGAAATGAGCTCAGAGAAAAATTATCAAAGATCATAAAGCCAGTAAGTAGCAAAACCAGGATTTAAATTCAAGTCTCCTGACTCTAATTCCATTGTTTATTCATCTATGCCCTGGTGATATTAACTAATAAGCTCACGTGCCAAACATAACCCTTACCCCCATCCACTACATACTTATTTCTGAATAGAAAATAAAAGTCACACACAATTAAATGACAAGAAAAAAGCCCCACAATCTTAGTATGCTACGATTCTCAAAAAGGACTTCACGATTCTAGCCACACGATTTCTCAAGCATCAAGGGACTACTTAGAACACTTAGTAGGGCCTTGTACGTAGGTGCTCAATGAAAGGTTGTTTTAAAAGTCTCACAGTATTACCCCACAGATTATTTTGTTCATTTACAAAAGAAAAGATATATACTTTAAAATGGAAAAAGATCTGGCGATCTTAACCCAGCGATTAATCTTAGCATCACCAACAGTGGGACAACCTGACATTGTGTGCTTCTTGACATGATGCAGTAACAGAGGCACCACACAATCTATGCTATATCCTTGCCAAAAGTAAAATCCACATCTACTAAGAAAACAACCAAACCTGGACAACATAGTGAGACCCCATCCCTACCAAAAAAGAAGATAGCCAGGCATGGTGGCACAGGCCTGTAGTCCCAGATACTCAGGAGGCTGAGGCAAGAGAATTGCTTGAGCCCAGGCATTCAGGGTTACAGTAAGCTATAATCATGCCACTGCACTCCAGCCTGGGAAAAGAGGGATATTCTGTCTCAAAATAAAAAATAATAATAATAAAACATAGCCAGAAAAATCCAGGATAGGGGATATTTTACAAGACAATTGGCTTAGACACTTCAAAATGTTCATTGCCATGGGCAGAAAAAGCAGAGGACTATTCTAGATTAAAAGAGGAAAGATATAACCAAAAGTATGCCTGAACCTTGGACTAGACCCCGGATGAGGAGAAAATGTTTTAAAAGACACTTTGGGATGATAGGGACAATTTATTCCATACAGATCTATCATATTGGATATTGAGTTATTCTTAATCAGCTCAGATATGGCAATGACATTATGGCTAGGGAGGAGAATATTCTTATTCCTAGATGAATGTGTATTTAGGGGTGAAGTATCATGGTGTTACAATTTACTTTCAAATGATTCAGCAAAAGAAATTAGATAAAGCACATATGGTAAAATGTTGCATTTGTGGATCTAGGTGAAAGTTATACTATTATACTATTCTTTCAACTTTTCTGTGTACTTAAAATTTCTTCAAAGTATTTTTTAACATTCTTGAATAAAATTCAAGACAGTTGGGATAAATTCAACTCTTCTAAGAATATGATTTCTGAAAATACCAGGTTGTAAGCAATCAATCAATATAAATATTTATTGTGACCCTGCTATTAATATATCCTAATCAACCCCTCTGGGAGCTGTAGTGGTGACTAAACAGTGCTTCATGCTCTCTTGGAACCCATGTAGCATGTTATTTTGTACGTGTGTGTGTTGGAAGAAAGAGGAATTATTCTGGAATGCTTCCCCAAGTAATGCCTCAGCTTAAACCTGAAGGATAAATAAGTAGGTGTTGCCTAGTTATAGGATGGTAGGGAAACGGGTCAGAGAAAACAAACAGGTGTGAAGGCACTAATGATGGAGTTGGCCAATCTGGAGAGTGAGAATATTTACTCCTACTGCTTCCTCCAGGCCCCCACTCTTTTTAGATAGCCTGTTGGTCTCCTGGTTCCATTAACCAACTCCCTCTATTCAATCTTCAGACCCAGGAGTAGTAGTAACAGGACTCCAATGTTACTAGTCCCAAGAACTAAACTCACCCTGAGGTTTCCCTATACCCTACATACAACTTTGTAAAGGTCCTTTTATTAAACTTTCCTCAAATTATCCAATTTCAGTAAGCCATCTATTTCCTGCCAGCAGGACTGATAAAAATCTCTAGAGACAGATATGGGAGATGTCTGCATATTTCATATGGTATCTGGGACCATGGAATGGAGATAATCTAGGAAGAAGGCTGAAGATGAAGCCTGGGCCAGTGAGCATCTGAGGTCCAAGGAAAACCTAGAAAGTGTGTTTTCAACCAAGAGTATTTCAAGAAAGAAACTGTCAATCGTATTAAGTACTGTGGAGAGGCTGGGTAAATAAGATAAAGGCTTTGGAATGTCTCATGAAGAAGCCATCAGTGACAGATCAACATTGAAGAGATTTGTAAAGTTAATTGGAGGCCAAGTATACACTTACTTGAGGGGAAAAAAAAAAAAAAAAACAGTATGGCCAGGCATGGTGGGTCACACCAGTAATCCCAGCACTTTGGGAGGCTGAGGCGAGCAGATCACTTGAGGTCAGGAGTTCGAGACCAGCCTGGCAAACATGGCGAAACCCTGTCTCTACCAAAAAATACAAAAATTAGCCAGGCATGGTGGCACATGCCTGTAATCCCAGCTACTCGGGAGGCTGAGGTGGGACAATCCCTTGAACCCAGGAGGCAGAGGTTGCAGTGAGCTGAGATTGAGCCACTGCTCTCTAGCCTGGGCTACACAGTGAGACTCTGTCTCAAAAAAAAAAAAAAAAAAAAGAAAAGGAAAGGAAAAAAAAAAAAAGTATAATTTTTCAGGTTTCTATTTTAACTCTACCAGGAACTTACTAAATAATTTGAGATTTTTTAGTTTTAATTATTTTGAGATTTAAATATAAATGTAAGCAAAAACAATCCTTCTCTTTTATTTGCAAAAAGCCAATACTGGCTGGGCGTGGTGGCTCACGTCTATAATCCCAGCACTTTGGGAGGCTGAGGCAAGTGGGTCACCTGAGGTTAGAAGTTCAAGACCAGCCTGGCCAACATGGTGAAACCCTATCTCTACTAAAAATATAAAATTGGCTGGGCGTGGTGGCAGGCGCCTGTAATCCCAGCTACTCGGGAGGCTGAGGCAGGAGGATCGCTTGAACCCAGGAGGCGGAGGTTGCAGTGAGCCGAGATCACGCCATTGCACTCCAGCCTGGGTAACAAGAGCAAGACTCTGTCTGAAAAAAAAAAAAAAAAAAAAGCCAATACCTGGAGACACAGTTAAGCTAATATAAGCCATAGAAGTTTAGAGAATAAATGCTGTAAAACAGAATAAATCATTTTCCCCTTTCAGATAAAGAGCAGGCTTTCGCAAAAAAATCTTTTGTCTCTCTCTAAACTGAATGACTAAGTTCTTTCATGCTAAAGCTTGCAACTAAGTTTGTCTAAGACCCCCTAGTCAACATACAATAACAAGCAGTTTCTAACCAGGGTGTAAGGTATTTGATACCTAAAGCATTCTCATGACTACAATGAGTAACCAAACTCCACAGCTTGAGAAATTGTTAGACAGAACCCGCAGATCCCTTTCTTTGAGAACATGAGCCTGTGAAATTATCTATCTTTGATCTAATTTGGCTTTCTCCTCCCTTCCGAGTTCACTGAACATCACACAAAAATGATTGCCTGGCCACTACAATGCTAAATCTGGGGCACTAGGAAACTGTTCTAGGGACGCTGAATAGAAGAGCTCCCAGGGTACCTTCTATTGTTCACTGCAGAGCAGCCACCTTGATGAATTGTTTTAAGATATCGTTTCACTAAACCTCCAGCAGTTTTCTCCACAAAAAGACAGATAATAGGTACTTTGAACATTATCAAAATTAAAAAACAGAATTTGATTTAAGTTAAAGATCAACGTATCTGCAAAAGTTAAACTTGCCCCTCATTTCAGCCTTCAGAAAGAAGGGAGGCAAGAAGAGACCCAGGGAATAGTTTCCAATGAGGGTTAGGACAGCATTACTGCAGCAGACAGGAGACAGTTTAGAGAACAAAGGCTTTCAAATAAGAAAAGCAGATTCTTTCATTCAAGTTACATGACCTCCTGGCACCTCCTCTTACCGGTAAATAGATTTTTTTTTACTTTGCAGGGTTACTTAAACAATGTTTAAAAGTGTCTGGCCCAACAGTAGGTCTTTTCTTTTTTTTCTTTGGAGGTGGAGTCTTACTCTGTCACCCAGACTGGAGTGCAGTGGCCCAACTCAGCTCACTGCAACCTCTACCTCCCAGGTTCAAGCAATTCTCCTGCCTCAATCTCTCGAGTGGCTGGGACCACAGGCGCATGCCACCATGCCTGGCTAATTTTTTTATTTTTAGTAGAGACGGTGTTTCACCATGTTGGCCTGGTTGGACTTGAACTCCTGACCTCAAGGGATCCACCCGCCTGGGCCTCCCAAAGTGCTGGGATTACAGGTTTATATAAGCCACAGTGCCCAGCCAGGGTTTTTCATATTGTGAGAGCCATTTTTCTTTTTACTTGCTACACAAAGCATTTGCATTGTAGGGCGAGACGACCAATTTAAAGAGATTCAGTTAAAAAAAAAAAAAGCTGTGACAAACTCTAGGTGCCTTCCCATTAGCCCCACCCGCACCTCTTGGTATCCAATCCTTCGTATGAGCCTCTCCCCTTGGATATGGGCAGGACCTGAAAAGACCCCTCTTGCTGGCAGCTTGGCTCTCGACACTTGCTGGTAGTGACAGTAATCATGTCAGTGGTCCAGTCAGCAGCCAGGCCATGCAGGGAGCACCCAGCTGGCAAGGAACTAAGCGGGGGCCTCCAGCTGACAACCAGTGAGAGGTCTGGACACTCAGTCCTGCAGTGGCAAGAACTGAATTCTGCCAGCCGAGTGAGGCTGAAATGAGTTCTTCCCAAATCACCAGGTGAGAATGCAGATGAGACCATGAGCTTTCTAAAGGACCTATCTAAACCATGCTCAGACAGAAACTGAGACGCATTTGTTTTAAGCCACTAAATCTATGGTAATTTAGGACATAGCAATAGATAATACTGGTACTATCAACTTCCTTAGTTACCTTGTTAATTTCATAGTAACTGTATTAGGTGGCATCCAGACTATCCCAAATTTAAATACTAACAGTAGTATAAAAAGTCTGGCCCTTTATTACCTTTCCCAGGTAATAAAACAACTGGTTTCTAAAAGTTTGATATGGATTACACCTCTTAGGATTCCTCATAATCCTGTGAAGTAGATATTCCCATTAATTATTTAACTCAAATGACTAACAAGGGGCAGAGCTAGGAACTTGAGAACCAGCATCCAACCCCTGATGCCACCACCCTTCCAACTTTTATAGTTTCCCTAAAGTCTCAATGATGCTTCCCACTATGCCCATAGATAGTAATAAAACCACAGACAGTAAAAAGTACTGGGAACATTTTGTTCTTCCTTTTAAATCCATCTTATCCACTAGATTAATAATTGTGCACATCAGTTAAAATGTCTTTTATTCCAAAGTCTATGTCTCAGTGAAGAGGAATTTATTCCCTTCATGGCTTGTTATTAATACTAAGCACTTAAACTGAGTATATGTGAAAGCCAAAAACATTATTCTTACTGAAGACCTGTCAAACAAAGCCACAAAACAGCTCCTTTTATTTTCTAGTAAGACTAGATTTATTCAATACCCTAGTAAAAGTTTTGATTATAAGTATCCAACAGTATAAAAAGTACAAAACAGATCTGTAGATTTCTAATATATTAATACAAAGTGCATGACTACATACAGTACATCCTACAGGCAAAGAGAGGTGGAAGGGGAAAAAGAAGACTGTGGTTGAGGTCTAGTAATAAATAAATAAATACAGAAGTAGAGATGATCCATATTATAGTATATTCTACCACCAATACTGCAGCCAAAATGTACAAAAAAAATCATTTCAAATAACTCAGGAGGATGATAATGGCTGGACTTTTGTAATTCACCTCAAAGACTGTGGGAGAGCCAACTCAACTCACTGTATAGTCTGTGCATATGGTGGCTTGTAGCATGTAGGTTTTTTCCAAAAGAAGGAAATATAAAATGTTTAGATTAAGAACTATAAAACTACAGGGTGCCTATAAAAGGTGGCTTACTCCTTATTGTTATTATACTATCCAATTTTTAAAATGCAGTTTAAAAAATAAGCACTGAGTCTTGTTATTACAAGGCAGGCAAATGTTTCTCCCTCATTTTGAAAAGACTGAACTGGCAATGCTTTTCCTGAACATTTAGAAAAGAGGCAGTAAGAGTACTCTGGTTTGGGTTCAAGTGAGAGGCTTTTCATGAAAATCTTAGGATTGAAGAGCTCTAAGTTCAGGATATCTCAATGTTCAGAAAGCCTGACTAAAAGAAGCCAAACCAAAACCATTTAATGTGAACACAAACCTCTTTTCTTTTAGTAAGTTTTACTTTTAATACAGAGTGAAAGAAAATAAAAATTTAATAGGCTAAAACAAGTCAAACACCCATTCTACACAGATAAAAACCTTCACAAAGGTCAACTGAAGTAATCCAGAGCTGAAACTGAATTGTGCAGATTTTCAATGAAGTCACAGAAGTCATGTAACACAAACAAAAGTCGATTATATTTACACACTCAGCAAGCCCTCTAAGAAATGTGCCCCAAGAAGCATTAACCTTTGTTTTGTGCCATCCTGAAGACTTGCACATTTTATTTTTCAGATAGCTTAACATTTTTAATCGAGTGTGTTCTCTACCATGCGGTAATGCTTTGGTACTATTCATACAGGGTCTTGCCTATCCTAAAGACTTGCCATTTCCCCAAGAGGAGCTTTGATTCTGCTTTAGAAGTTTTACATAAATTAAAATCTTTATCAAATATTAATATGAAGGGAGGCACAGGATGCAACATATATAGTCAAGTTACCTCTCTGTATATTTAGAAATTACTTTCTCCTCCAAGGTATTTGCAACAGAAAGCTCAGTCTGTCCTGCTTAATAATCAGTAGTACAGGTGTGAATCATCAGAAGCTTGGCAAGACCTTAATATTTCAAAATTATTAACAACTACCTCTAGGGGCAAGTTCATGTTACTGAGTTATGACAAATTTATTATCATGAGGGAAAACAAGAGTAGCCAGCCATCTTAAAAATGCCCCAACCACTGCTTCTCAAAACAGAAAGACTAAAAACTACATACAGTTTATCATACAACAAATCCCATCTCTGTCCCCTGAAATTCCCCTAGTTTCATTCATTAGAAGGGGATTAAAAAAAAAAAAGACTTAAAGAGCACTTTACAGCAGCATTCAGCTTTCCTATGAAATACTCAGCATCTTAAATATTATATACAACTCTTTTTTTAGTAAGCTAGACACTGGCTTCAGAGTTTGTGGGAGTGGGGGAAATCAACCCATTCAAAACTACTCTAGAAATTGTCTTTTGGCAGAATAGCAGGTATCCAAGTTAAAAATAAGAGGGTCATTTAAGACCAGCCTGGCCAACGTGGTGAAACCCCGTCTCTACTAAAACTAAAAAATTAGCCGGGTCTGGTGGCGGGCACCTATAAACCCAGCTACTTGGGAGGCTGAGGCAGGAGAATCACTTGAACCCGGGAGACGGAAGTTGCAGTGAGCCAAGATCACGCCACTGCACTCCAGCCTGGGTAACAAGAGCAAAACTCCGTCTCAAAAAAAAAAGAGGGTCAGTTTGTAGCTTTGTGGTTTTTCAAAATTCAGATATTTTTTTTTTTGTTCCCCTTCTACATAAAAACCTCAGTCACCACTCCTGAGTGGAGATGGGCAGAGGCTCTGGCCCCTGCTCCTCTGGCTTCTCAGCAGCTGCTTTCTTATTGCTGCAGCAAGGCTTGAAGAGATGTGTGTCAATGAGGACTTCCCCAAAACGGCCTTTATAGATGATCCCACAACATATCTTCTGTCTAAAAGAAAAAATGGAGAACAAGATACATTAATAAGGAAGAAAAATAGGAATACAAAAGAAATCTACTCACTATTATAACTAGTCCAATATAACCAAAGAGTTGTGCTTCTACAATCTTGCACATTCCAAGTGAAAGGGCTCCTAGAGTAACCCCAATTAGCTAGAGAAGGGGAATTACCCAGTTGCCTTAAAGGCCACACTGGAATCTTCTCAAATATTGAGGAAGACGGCATTTTGAAAGACAGCAGTCAGTTTCAAAGGCTGCCCCTGATGTTGTTAACTATTTCCTCCAAAATCACCAACTCTTGAAAAAAAAATCAGCCACCATAAACAGGCTGATGCAGCTAGCAATTTTTTATATATATTTAATTTTTTTTCTTTATCAACTCCTAAGTGCTTGAGTGGTAATTTTTAATTAAATACTGAGTAGATAAAAATACATGTGTGGGCCGGGTGTGGTGGCTTACACCTGTAATCCCAGCAGTTTGGGAGGCTGAGGTGGGCAGATAACTTGAGGTCAGGAGTTCGAGATCAGCCTGGCCAACATGGCGAAACCCCATCTCTACTAAAAATGCAAAAATTAGCCAGGCGTGGTGGCACGTGCCTGTAGTCCCAGCTACTTGGGAGACTGAGGCAGTAGAATCACTTGAACCCAGGAAGTGGAGGTTGCAGTGAGCCGAAATCACACCACTGCACTCTAGCCTGGGAGACAGAGCAAAACTCTGTCTCAAAAAAAAACAAAAAAGGGTGTGTGTTAGCAAAGGCATCAAAAATGACAACACAATGAGAATGCCTACAGACCACATACTCTAAGGGAAAAAAGATCATTTCCTATGAAGCCCCCTGCAGGCCCCTCCACAGTCCCATCCTACCTCATCTCATCCTCTCCCCACTTAATTTTAGGTTTATCACTCCCTTTTCTTTATACTTCATGGTTTCACCGTATGTTGGCATCTCTAATCATACTGCACAGTTATCCATTACACACACACACACACACACACACACACACACACACAGAATCACAATGTATTCTGCAATGTTTTAGTCAACGTTGAGATCCATACATATTGTTATAGAGCTTTATTTCATTTTAACATGTATAATATTCTACCCTGTGAATATATAACACAGTTTTATTTATCTACTCTTATTTTAATGTATAAATCAGTGGACACATCTTAAAGGTTTTTACTAGTTTATATTGCTGGCATATAGGAATGGGAACGTCTTCAACTTTACTCAAAAACGGCCATTTATCTACATGGTTATAACTATTTACACCTATAACTGACAGTGTTCTCATCATTCCATACCTTCTCCCCAACATTTGGTAATAGACTTTATTTTAGTTTTTTCACCAATCTAATGAGTATAAAATGGTATCTCATTGAAATTTTACTTTGTATTTCCTTGATTTTCAAAAAGTTTGAACACATTATCATTTAATGAGTTATTTCATGATTCCTTTCTAAGTGTGTCCATTTTTCTGTTGGTTTATCTTTTTCTTCCATTGTAGGAGTTGTCTGTATATTCCAGATACTAATCCTTTGTCAGATATATGTGCTGGATATCATTTCATTTTCTTTATGGTATTATTTGATGAATTTAAGTTCATAATTATAATGTAATTAAACCTGGAGGTTTTTTTAAATGCTTAAGTACTCTGTCATAAAAAAATCCTTTCCCACTCAAAAGTCATAATCTATTTTCTACTTTAATGCATCTGTAATTGGTGTTTGTCTATGGTGTGAGGTAGGGAACCCAAGCCCAATTTTTCCACATGAATAACCATGTTGTTCTTAATATCCTAGCAACACTTATTGAACAGACCATTTTCGCCCACCAATCACCCCCACATCATGTATCACATAACAAGTGCTATATACATATGTGGCCTTGTTTCCAGGCTCTCTATACTATTCCATTGGTTTATTTTTCTATTCCTAGTCCCAAAACACATTAATTACCATGGCTTCATAATATGTCTTGATTTCTGTTAGGGCAAGTTTATCCACATCTTTCTTTTTCTTCTGAAGATGCCTATTTTGGGCCCTTTGCTTTTCTATATAAATTATAAATTAGCTTGTAAAGTTCCATAAATATGTTGGGATTTTGACTGCAATTACCCTGAATCTACAAAGTGATCATCTCCCTAACAGTCAGTTTAATAATATCTATGAATGTGCTATACCTCTCAATTTATTTAGGTGTCTTTAAATGTTATTCAACGGCCGGGCGCAGTGGTTCATGCCTGTAATCCCAGCACTTTGGGAGGCCAAGGCGAGCAGATCACCTGAGGTCAGGAGTTCACTATCAGCCTGGCCAGCATGGTGAAACCCAATCTCTACTAAAAATACAAAAATTAGCAGGGTGTGGTGGTGCATGCCTGTAATCCCAGCTACTCCGGAGGCTGAGACAGGAAAATCGCTTGAACCCAGGAGGCGGAGGTTGCAGTGAGCCAAGATCACACCACTGCACTCCAGCCTAAGTGACAGAGTGAGTCTCTCTCTCTCAACATAGACATATATTTATATATATACATACACACACACACACACACACACACACACACACACACATAAATAAATGTTATTCGACAATATTGTATGATTTTTACATAACTCCTCCAAAGGGCTTTTGATATTTTACTACATTATTTTATATTTCCTAACACTATGATAAAATGTATCATTCTAATGCCAAACTGCCTAGATTTAAATCCTGCTCTACTTACTATGTAACCTTAAACAAAGTACTTCCTCTTTGTACCTGTGTTTTCACATAATGCTTCACAGAATTGTCATAAAGACTAAATAAGGCCAGGTGCAGTAACTCACACCTGTAATCCCAGCACTTTGGGAGGTCAAGGCAGGCAGATCACTTGAAGCTAGAAGTTCAAGACCAGCCTGGCCAATATGGCGAAACCCCATCTCTACTAAAATACAAAAATTAGCCAGGCATGGTGGTGCGTGCCTGTAGACCCAGCTATTTGGGCGGCTGAGGTGGGAGAATTGCCTGAGCCCAGGAGGCGGACATTGCAGTGAGCCAAGATAACACCACTGCACTCCAGTCTGGGCTACAGAGTGAAACTCTGTCTCAAAAAAAAAAAAAAAAAGATTAAATAAATGCAAACAAAGTGGTTTAAAGTACTTTAAAGTACTTACACTATGCACTAGGCACTGTTCTAAAGTGTTTACTACTACACTACTACCAATATTGTATTGGTTAGAACCTTCTGTATAATGCTGAATAGAAATGGTGATAGTCAACACTCTTGATTTGTTCCTGATCATAGAGAAAATGCTTTCATTTTATCACAATTATGTATTATGTACTTTTGTCCTTTTTGTAAGATACCTGTTGTCTAAGTAAAAAAGTTTCCTTCTATTCCTATTTTGCTAAAACTTTTTTTTTTTTAAACCTTAAAGGAATGTTCAAATTTGTCAAACTCCTTCTTTGCACCACTAAGAAGACAACACCTTCCTTTAGAAACTATCAATGTGGGCTGGGCACGGTGGCTCACGCCTATAATCCCAACACTTTGGGAGGCTGAGGCAGGTGGATCACCTAAGGTCAGGAGTTCGAGACCAGCCTGACCAACATGGTGAAACCCCTTTTCTACTAAAAATACAAAAATTTAGCCAGGTGTGGTGGCCATGCACCTGTAATCCCAGCTACTCGGGAGGCTAAGGCAGGAGAATCACTGAACCCGGGAGGCAGAGGCTGCAGTGAGCAGAGATCGAGCCATTGCACTATAGCTTGGCAACAAGAGCAAAACTCCGTCTCAAAAAAAAAAAAAAAAAAGAAACTGTCAATGTGGTAAATTATATTAGTTGATCGTCTCATGTTCAAACCAATCTTACATACCTAGAATAACCCTAGTGGCTGATGATATATTTGTTTTGGTATCAAACTTATATCAGCCTTAAAAATGCTTGGGGCCTATGCCCTATTTTATCCATAGTCTGGAAAAGCCAGTGCATAGGCTCCAATCATCTGTTCCTGGATGTTTAGTACAACTTGCCTATTGTGGTTTGTTTGTTTGTTTGTTTGTTTTTTTAAATAGAGTCTTGCTTTATCACCAGGCTGGAGTGCAATGGTGCAAAAATAGCTTACTGCAAACCTAACCTCCTAGGCTCAAACAATCCCCTCACCTTGGCCTCTCAAAATGCTAGGATTACAGGTGTGAGCCATCACACCTGGCCTGAATCAATTTATTATGAGATTATCTCCGTTTTTCACTTTTTCTTGAGACAGCTTTAGCAACATGTCTTTTTTCTAGTACTGTACCTGCTTCACCTGTATGTTCAAATTTATTGGCATCAAGTTGTCTATAATATCCTATTATTTTTTAAATGTCTGCTTTATCTATACCTAAGTCTCTTTTCTCTTTCCTAAAATTGCTTATGTGTATTATCTCCTTTTCCTGATCCACTTTATCTCTAGTATATTTTTGGTCACGTCTTTTTGAAGGACCAACTCTTAGTTTTACTGATTCTCTCCACTGCATATTGTCTTTCTACTCCACTTATCTAGCAATAGGCAATGTAGGTACCTTGATGTGATTTTTATTTTAAATAAATTTTAATAGGAAGAACATACAAAAATCCCACTTCCCTGCTCAATTCCTGCTTAATCCACTGCAATCGTGTGTTACCAACTGTTTGCCAAATGCCATTTAATTGCTAAGGAAGTAGAAAAATACTGCCCATAATTAAGATGGTTTGCTGGTTAGAGAGATACTTTGTTTCTTTTACCTTTTCCAGTAAGTGAGATCTAAAAAGGAAAAAACTGGTGTTCTGTTAGAACCAGAAGCCATCTCTGTATCTGAGCCGTCATCTGACTGGTTACTGTAACAAGGAGATTGAGCTGGGGAGGCACTTGAGGTGGTACTGTGAGCATCAGAATCTGCAATAAAGATTAAGAGAAAAAATAAAATTTTCAATTTCATTACATGTAATTGCAACTAAACCTCAGCATAAGACACTGTGAAAGAGTTGGTAAAAAAGAAAAAGTAAAAAATAATTCATTTTCTATGCACTACTGATATTTGAAGATATTCAGACTAACGTGTTTTTTAAAGAAGTGAAGAAGATGGAATAGACATACTTCCTATTCCTCCTGCTTATACAACTAAAATCCCTGGATATTATATATAAAACAAACCTGAGACTCCAAAAGGTGATGATCATCTAGGGAGCTCAAGACCCAAGGCAAGCCATGGTGGTAGGTTCCTTAGTTTTTCTGGATTTTCCTTTTGCCTCATAATCCCCAGCTTTGGAAGTGAAACAGCAGCCACCCAGAAATGCCAATGTGTACAGACAATCAAAACAACAACAACAAAACAAAAATCCAAAACCCCAATTAAAACCTGATCTCTCTAGCAAAGAACTAGGAAAAGGGCAGCCTAGCCAGACAGAAAACATTTCTGAACACTAACCTTCCTGTTCCAGCCAAACCCACGGAAAAAACTGTGGACACCTTTCCTAACCCCAGCAGAGGCTGAGGTGAAGAGCCTACATTTCCACCCTCACAAGACTTAGGAAGCACCCCAACACCTATACCAGGGTGGTGTCAGAGGAAGCCTAGCGAAGTCAGGATTTTCATTATGGCCCACTAAGTACAAGGCCACCCTCACCAGGTGGTAGCCTGAACTCTCTCCTGACATCCAGTAGTAACAAGGAGCCTCCCCCTCCCCCCAACCTCAGATGTCAATGGAGGTTGAGAGAGAAACTGGAATTCTAACACCTGGCGGTAAGTAATAGGGTGGTGAGGCCCCTCCCTCTTTCCCTGCCCTGAGGGGTGTCAAAAAAGCCAGTTAAAATAGAAGGGTTAAATAAGACCCAGAGTCTCACAACATAATCTGAAAATGTCCAGGTTTCAATAAAAAATTACATCAGTCCAAGAATCAGGAAGATCTCAAACTAAATGAAAAGGCCAACACTAAGATGACAAAGACATTAGAATTATCTGACCAAGATTTTAAAGCAGCCACGACAAAAATGCTTCAGTGAGCAATTATGAACATGTTTGAAATAAATGAAAACATAGGCTTGGCAAAGAAATAGGAAGCCTCAGTAAAAATAAGATAGAAAACTATAAGGAAAAAATAAATGGAAAATTTGTAACTGAAAAAAATACAATAAAGAAAATAAAAACCACAGTGGATGGGCTGAGCAACATGGAGGGGAGAGAGAAAACAAACAGTGAACTGGAAGAAAGAACAACAGAAATTGCCCCATATGAACGACACAGAAAACAAATGAACAGAGCAGGAGAAACCTGTGGAGCTTAGTCAAACATACATCTACATTCATGTCATTGCAGTCCTGGAGGGAGAGGAAAAAGAGAATAGAGGTGAAAAAGTACTCAAATATAGTGGCTGAAAACTTGTGAAATTTGGCGAGACATAAACCTAAGACTCAAGAAGCTAACCAAAGCCCAACAGAATAAACCCAAAGAAATCCATGCCAAAACACGTCATAATTAAGCCTCTATAAACTAAACCAAGAGAAAAATCTTGAAAGCAGCCAAAGAATAATGACATTATACCTATAAAGAGAAAACAAAAGATCCTGATTTAATAAGGAATAAAGGCAGTTCATTAGATGCAGAGCTAACCCTGATTTAATACTTTGCCTGTTTATGTGAAGATGTCAGATAAATGTACAAGCCAGAAAATAAGTTTCTTAGTTAACAGTCATTGTGCTATAAGGCTGTTGTACTGCCACGTCACAGCAAGAGCAGTATCATAAACCTCATAAACACAGGTGGGGCCTACCATACACCTTGCCCATCCCAGGACACGTTGACAGAGCAATCCTTCCATTCAGATAACCAATCAAGTACTTATTAAATATTTATAAGGCATCAAATCCTATGTTACATGCTGCATGGAAAGAAACAGACTAAAGAAAATTTGGGTTTTTTTTTTTTTTTAATTATTTTTATCTTTTGGTTTTCCTTGAGACCGGATCTCACTCTGTCACCCAGGCTGAAGTGCAGTGGCATGACCACAGCTCACTGCAGTCTCAACCTCCTGAGCTCAAGCAATCCTCCCGTCTCAGTCTCCTGAGTAGCTGGGACCACAGGCACACACCACCACACTCGGCTGGTTATTTTTTTAATTTTTAGCAGAGACAAGGTCTCGTTATTTGCCCAGACTGGTCTGGAGCTCCTAGCCTCAAGCGATCCTCCCACCTCGGCCTCCCAAAGTGCTGCAATTACAGGCATGGTCACACCTAGCCAAGAAAATGTTTTTGTTTTTGTTTGTTTGTTTGTTTGTTTGTTTAAAACAGAGTCTCACTCTGTCGCCCAGGCTGGAGTGCAGTGGCTGGATCTCAGCTCACTGCAGCCTCCAACCTCTTGGATTTTCATGCCTCAGCCTCTCGAGTAGCTACAACTACAGGTGTGCACTACCACACCCAACTAATTTTTTTATATTTTTAGTAGACAGGATTTCGCCATGTTTGCCAGGCTGGTCTTGAACTCCTGGCCTCCCAAAGTGCTGGGATTACAGGTGTGAGCCACCACACCCAGTCAAGAAAACGTTTTCTGAATAGAGCTCACAAATATTTTATATTTACAAATATTTACATAAAACAGCATAAAATTAGGTATCTAAAAGAAAGCCCCGTTAGTATTTTTAATATGTTAACTTAGCAAACAAAATCCTCAAGAGTAGCAGGTTTTAAAAAAATGAGTCTAGTGGGATGTTTAAGACTTCCTAAATAATTAACATCAACAGACACCTCTATGCTGCTGAGGAAAACTCACTCTCCTAGGAAGTGCTTAATATCTTTAAACTATTTGAAATTTCAATTATCTGACCATTTTTGTTTTGTTTTGTTTTTGTTTTCGGAGACGGAGTTTTGCTCTTGTTGCCCAGGCTGGAGTGCAATAGCACAATCTCGGCTCACCACAACCTCTGCCTCCCAGGTTCAAGCAATTTTCTTGCCTCTGCCTCCCAAGTAGCTGGGATTACAGGCATGCACCACCACGCCCAGCTAATATTGTATTTTTAGTAGACACGGGGTTTCTCCATGTTGGTCAGGCTGGTCTCAAACTCCCAACCTCAGGTGATCCACCTGCCTCGGCCTCCCAAAGTGCTGGGATTAGAGGTGTAAGCCTCCATGCCCAGCCCAAACTGCAATTTTAAGTCTTAAAAATTACGTAGGATTTAGAAGGCACCAAGGAGTGATTAGATGGCATCAAGTCGGTAGGGACAATGGGCAAAGTCAATGAGCAAAGCTGTGGAAGCCAAAAACACTCCAGGAACTGACTCAGCTCAAACAAAAATAGGACCTTCAAACACTTTCTAGGAATTCTCAACCATATTTTATAGTAAGCAGAAATCACTGCAGATTTTGAAAAGGATGACACAAAAAGAATAGCTAACATTTATAGACGAATTTATTTTGTTTTACAAAGCCATTTTTTACTTGATTATCCCCAGTTCTCTGATTAGAAAATTATGGTTAAACGTCAAGTGACTCCAGAGTTACACATTTGCTAGTGACAAGAGCTGATATTCAAATCCAGATCTGTAACTCTAGGTCCAATGCCTTTTCAGTACACCACAAAATGTCTTGAAAAGGGAATACAGGGCTGGGCACGGTGGCTCACGCCTGAAATCCCAGGACTTTGGGAGGCCAAGGAGGGCAGATCACCTGAGGTCAGGAGTTCAAGACCAGCCTGGCCAACATGGCGAAACTCTGTCTCTACTAAAAATACAAAAATTAGCTGGGTGTGGTGGCATGCACCTGTAATCCCAGCTACTCGGGAGGCTGAGGCAGGAGAATCGCTTGAACCCAGTAGGGGGAGGTTGCAGTGAGCTGAGATCCGTGCCACTGCACTGCACTCCAGCCTGGTTGACAGAGCAAGTTTGACTCCATCTCAGAAAAAAAAAAAAAGAAAGAAAGAAGAGAATACAGGCCTGGTATGTGCAGGATACACAGAAGCAAACACATAACCAGAAGCACAGACCATTTAGTGGGTGATATATAAAAATTCACATGTTTCCCAACTGCTTCAATGCACAAAGGTGCCAGCAATTTATACTGTACCTGGTGAACACCCTGTTTCAGTCTGAGCCTCCACAATCTACACACCTTATTATCAAAGGAATTTATTTTCAGTCTCTAACTACTACACAGCACAGTTTCATAATAAAAATCTAAAATTACACTGAATATTCCCTTAAGTAAGACAAAAGTGAGATATCACTTTCTCTATAATTAAGGGAAAGGGCTAAGAATATACATATGAATAATCAGTTCCTCGGCCTTCAAGTGATAAAAGAAAATTAATGTTTCCCAAATGTTCATTAAAACATCTAGTGAGGACTGGGTGTGATGGTTCACACTTGTAATCCCAGCACTTTTGGGAAGCCGAGGTGGGTGGATTGCTTGAGCTCAGTTTGAGACCAGCGTGGGCAACATGGCAAAACCCAAACTCTACTAAAAATACAAAAATTAGCCAGGCATGGTGGTGCATGTCTGTAGTCCCAGCTACTCAGGAGGCTGAGGCACAAGAATTGCTTGTACCCCAGAGGCAGAGGCTGCAGTGACCCAAGATCACACCACTGTACTCCAGCCTGGGTGACAGAGCGAGACCCTGTTTCAAAAAAAAAAAAGAAATAAAAGAAAATATCTAGTGAGAATGGAAGGTAGAGTTAAATCTTTAGGGAGATGGGGGGTTGAGAGCTGGTTAGGAAAGGTAAGTGTATAATTAAAATACATATACAAATTTATATTTCCTAAATATTTTACATCTCTACCACTTATTAAGTGGCCCAGATCAAGTTTAAATCACCTCTTTGTGCCTCCTATTCTGAGCTCTAAGATGGAAATAACTGAGATTACATATGTAAAGTGCTTAGTATACCAAAATGCTCAAAAAATGTTGAGTTCTCCTGCACTCCTCACTTTACCGTCACTAAACTTAGATGTCTTTTTCCATTATTCTAAAACAAGCATGATAACCATGTCTTGATTGATAATGTTCTCTCTAACAGGGCCCTATAGATTTTTTAAAAGTACTGAGAGCTCCAATAGAGATCCACAACCCCTAGCCGCAATTCTGAGAAAGCTCTGGAAACAGAAAGTATATTCCTAACCTATTTGGCCACAAAATCTGGCATGACCTAAACTATGACTATAAGCAGACAAACCTGACTAGCCTATGTACCATCTATTTATTCCACTAAATGTGAATACTGCTACTTTTTGCTGTAAAAATACTAATGTGTTTGGTTCAATAATGCTCCTTCAAACCCCAAGGGTAATAGAGATATTTATTAGACAATAACATTATATGCAGTGTATTTCCTTTTCAAAATCTAAAATCTCAATTCCAAAATACAGATGTGCCATTACAGCAACCCCCCAAAACTTCCAATAATAGCATGTGACCTGACATTAATTAATTAGACATTCCTTTCTCATTCTATCACACAACACACACTGCCCCTTAAACCTGAAAGCAAGCCCTGAGGTTGGCTGAATTTCAATATGTGCGTTATGATTTCTAAAGTTACTTTCCAGAAAATCTGGACTTTGGTCTCAGATTGTCCCCTTTACGTACCTTCTTGCACATCTGCAGGACTCAATTTCCTTATGGATAAAAATCAAGTAAATGAGCTAGAAATGCACCTTCTAGAAAATTAAGATGTCAATAAAGACATCAGGGTGGTCTCAGTACAATCTGAAGTGGTTAGCTAGTAGAAATACTCTCTTGAGACATCAAAATCAGAAAAAGTGCCAACATTTCACAGAAATAAGATAACATCTCTACCAAGTCAACGTTGCCTTCCAGTGCTCTTTATAAAAAGCAATAAAGGAAAAAATGATCCACACATGCCATACACCACCCCCAGCCAAAAATAACAAAACAATTATTAAGTACTAATGTTGTAATATCAAACTTACTATGACGTTTAAATTCCTTCTGCAGTTTACTGATCTGGTTGCTTTTTATCCTGTTCCCAGATAGAGTTTTCACTTTCTTTGGTTTCAATGTAGTCTTTAGACTGGGTCCAGCCCTTGCATCTACCACCTGGAAGAAAATACTGAATATTTAATAATATTTTTAAAATGACACCAGTGTATCCCTTTGGTTCAGATCCGTGCCTATTTGAGAACCACAGTTTTATACTGAAAAGAGGATGAAGCTCCATGTGCACCTTTAATCATCACATGACATAAGGGAATAAATAATATTTATCTACTGGGGTTTTTAAAGATATTCTTTCCTGTGAAGTGGGTAATAGTGGGAGTCTATTGGAAAAAAATTTAAATAGATTTGTATATGGGATAATCATTACTGGATGACCCAGCTAGGTTAAGAATCAAACCTAAAAACAACTCCATTTCTACAGGATAATGTTTTGCAGTTTACGAAAAGCTTTCATATACTTTTTATATTTAGTACAAAGCAAAAAATAGAGCTACTTTTGTTACTCCAATTTTAGACAGAAGGAAAACAAGGCAAAGATAAATTATGCATTTTGCCTTATTTCACCAAGCGAGTAAATGGGTAAGAGGGGTGGAGAGGGGAGAAGATTGGAATCAAGGTCTTCAGGCCTATTCTTTATGCTTTTTTCACTTTACACCTTAATCTCTGAGGTGAGTTACACGACAGCAATAGCATGTTCTCCCACAGTCTAGCCCAGCCATTGATCTCGCCCCATATGGTCCTGTTTCTTAGGTATTCATTCACATTTATTAGCTGCAGATTTCTACCCCATGTAAAAAGGAAGGTTGTTATCATCTTCAAAATCATGACCTATTATAATAACATAACACTGTCATCAAAGGACAATGTAAGGCTAGTGTGAACGATAACTGTGTTATACTTTCTATACACCATCTCATCCAGTTCTCACAATAGCTCTGTAAGAGAGCTATTATCTTTGCACTTCATGAATAAATATAACCTGCCCAAAATCCACAACTAGTAAGTGGTAAAGGCAAAATTCAAATTCAAGTCTGATCTACATGTTCATTAGTACCAACCTGAGTTCAAAGGATCATGTTATCCAAAGAGATTTAAGAAAAAGAATTCATGTCTAATTAACTCTGGGAATTACTGAGTTAAGCCTAAAAACAGGTGAATGCTTACTGTGAATCTCCAGAAGGGGGATATTGGATACAGCCTTAAGGAAATGCCACACCAGGCTATTCTGTTCTAAAGATGCCAAAATGTTAGGCCATTATATCTGAACAGCAGCTAGTGTTTTTCTTTATTCTTTTCAGACTTTTCTACCCTAGGGATATATTACTTCCTAAATTAGGGGGAAATTAATGTTACTTTAAATACAGTAGAGGTATAATTGAGAAAAAAGAAAGATGGACTAACATGATTCCAGTTTTTTTTTGATCCTGCTGGCAACTTCTTCCATCTTTTCACAAGCAGGACACAGGCATTGCAGATGTCTCCTGAACGAGTCTCATGCAATCTGATAAGAAAACAATCAAACCTTTATCAGTCTCCCTTACCTTAAAGAATTCATGCAAGCACATTTCTTTTGGGGAAAAAACTGTATCTATGTATGGTTTATAGATACAATTTAATCATCCTGGATGATCCCATTCCATTGTTTCTATAGAATATTTCAGAAATAAAATTATCTTCTAGATTCAACAAACCAATTCTATGTACGGCAATTTGGTTATTTTGAAATAAGAAATGCTTTTAAAATTAAATAGGCCAGGCTGGGTGCGGTGGCTCACGCCTGCAATCCCAGCACTTTGAGAGTCTGAGATGGGTGGATCACTTGAGGTCAGGAGTTTGAGACCAGCCTGGCCAACATGACAAAATCCCGTGTCTCTACTAAAAATACAAAAATCAGCCTGGTGTGGTGGTGCACACCTGTAGTCCCAGCTACTCAAGAGGCTTAAGCAGGAGAATCGCTTGAGCCCAGGAAGCAGAGGTTGCAGTGAGCCAAGATTGTACCACTGCACTCCAGCCTGGGCAACAAGAGCGAGACTCCATCTCAAAAAAAAAAAATTAAATAATTAAATAGGCTGGTGTGGTGGCTCACACCTGTAATCCCAGCACATCGGAAGACCAAGGTGGGAAGATCACTTGAGTGCAGGAGTTCGAGACCAGCCTGGGCAACACAAGGAGACCCCATCTCTACTTTAAAATTTTTTTTTTTAATTTAATTTAAAAAAATGCTTTTAAAATTAAAGAGTAAAACTCAAGACCTAAAAGAGATTCTGATTATCACGGTTTTAAACATTGCTGTTTAATTAATCTTTCTTGAAATGTGTAAATATATTTCTTTTTTGGTGGGGGCGTGGGGGTGAACAGGATCTCACTCTGTCACGCAGGCTGGAGTACAGTGGTGGGATTATGGCTCACTGCAGCCTCAACTTCCCAGGTTCAAGTGATCCTCCCACCTCAGCCTCCCTAGTAGCTGGGACCACAGGCACGTGCCACCACGCCTGGCTAATTTTTGTATTTTTTGTAGAGACAGGGTTTTGCCATGTTGCCCAGGCTGGTCTCCAACCCCTGGGCTCAACTGATCTGTCCGCCTTGGCCTCCCAAAGTGCTAGGATTACAGGTGTGAGCCACCACACCCGGCCTGTGTAGATATTTCATAAGTATCAAAATGCTAACCTTTGGCAAGTAAAATAATGTGCCATAATATTCCAGTTTCGCAGCAAACAAAACCAGAGAGGCACTGTAGTTTTAAAAAATGAAAATGGCCAGATGAGGTGGCTTATGCCTGTAATCCCAGCACTTTAGGAGGCTGAGGCAGCCGGGAGTTCGAGACCAGCCTGGGCAACATGGCAAAATCCTGTATCTACAAAAAAATAGAAAAATTAGCAGGGCATGGTAGTACATGCCTGTAGTCCCAGCTACTCAGGAGAGAGAGGTGGGAGGCTCACCTGAGGCCAGTGAGGTCAAGGCTGCAGTGAGCCATGACAGTGACACTGCAGTTCTGCCTGGGTGACAGAGTGAGACTCTGTCTCAAACAAACCAACAAACAAACAAACGATTATATTGCTGAGTAAGGTGGTGCACACCTGTAGTCCCAGCTACTCGAGAGGCTCAGACGGGAGGATCACTTGAGCCCAAAAGTTCAAGGCTGTGGTGCACAATGATCACACCTGTGAATAGCTACTGCACTCCAGCCTAGGCAACATAGGAAGACATTGTCTCTTTAAAAAAGAAAAGAAAAAAAGAATGATTTCCCATGTTAGAAATTACTTTCACCACTTTTTCTTATCAAAACATTTGTTGATCATTTATTGTTAATCCTGGACTTTTTAACTATTCTGAAGGTGTCAAAAAGGTCTGTGCCAACCATGCATGCCTTTTTAAATTTTATTTTTATTTTAGTATCTTCATTTCCTCAACCTCCCAGGCTCAGGTGATCCTCTCACTTCAGCCTCCGACGTAGCTAGGACTACAGGCATGTACCGCCACGTCTGGTGAGTTTTTTGTTTGTATTTTTTGTAGAGATGGGTTTCCCCATGTTGCCCAGGCTGGTTTCAAGCTCCTGGGCTCAAGTGACCCACCTGCCTCAGCCTCCCAAAGTGCTGGGATTACTAGCGTGAGCCACTGCACCCGGTCAAGCGTAATTTTTTTTTTTTTTTTTTTTTTTTGAGACAGAGTCTCATTCTGTCGCCAGGCTGGAGTGCAGTGGCGTGATCTCGGCTCACTACAACCTCCGCCTCCTGGGTTCAAGTGATTCTCCTGCCTCAGCCTCTGGAGTAACTGGGACTACAAGTGTGCACCACCACGCCCAGCTTATTTTTGTATTTTTAGTAGAGATGGGGTTTCACCATGTTGGCCAGGATGGTCTCGATCTCTTGACCTCGTGATCCGCCCGCCTCGGCCTCCCAAAATGCTCTCAGATTACTGGTGTGAGCCACTGCACCCAGTCAAGGGTAATTTTTTTAAAAGCCTTTTTAAAAATTAACCACAAAAGGAAGTCAACAACAAAAGGGTTTGTCTAGCTACAACTTTAAGGGGCTTCACGATTAATGTGGTAGCTCCTCATAATCTGGAAAAAAGTAGGCTGTCAGCATTGTTTGATTCATTTAAAAAGCAGGAGACTTACACAGCCTAAATTAGAATAAGTGATTTTTATTATTAGCACATTGTTCCAATCACCTTGCTTACAAATATTTCTGTATGCTGTGGTATTTTTTCACTCTAAGAATAGTACAAACATCAGGTGATCTTACCCAAAACAGCTCTGGAAGTCCTTTTCATAGCGTTTACTGTCAGTGAATCGAGAACTGGAGGACTTAGCTCTGCAAATACAGCAGCCCTCTATACTTCGGTACATCTTTGGCTTGTGAAAACCAAACATCTTTTCTTCTGGGCAATAGTCTGTAAAGCCAAGGGAATTGACATATCTTTGTTGAGGGCTGTAACAAGGAACCATTAAAGAGTTCTCTCTGCTCCACCCCACCCCCAAGCAACTTGGTGTTATATGACCAAGACAGGCAGGCAGCTCAAGGGAAGACCTCCTGGATCGACCTCCATTCTTGGCACTATCAAGGCAAGCGTATAAAACACAAAGAAAAGCCTAGTTATTTAAGGAGGACTCTACTACCTCCTAACTCGCCTAACAAACATGCAATCTAAAAATGGGGAAGAGAAGCATTTTTTAAAATCAGGTTTTGAAGTAAGAAATGCCACAAACAATCCTGTAAAATAATGAAGCTGTACACAATTAAGGATGCATCCTTAAATTTAAGACACACCTTTTTATTTTGCACATTTGCATTAACGTGATTCCCCTCTGGGGAAGTTTTGAGCATTTACCATGAATACTATTTGATACTAAGCACACAACTAGCTCACTATGCATCAGCCCATACTACTTTGCCTAATGGGAATTCAGAGGGGATTTCTTCTGTGATAAATGGGAAGTTCTAAGCAGTCAAGTTTGCCCCTGAATTGAAACTGCTGAAGGGAAGATGTAAAATTCACAAAAATCCAAGGTTAGAATTTAATAATAATAATTCCTTATTATCATTAAGACAAAAAAAGAACGAGCTCATGTTGTCTGACCGCTGATCTGCCCCTTAGTTGTTAGAGGTTTGTGGACCTCTTCTACAAGGCTTTGTGCCTGAGAGTAGTAACAGTGGGAGGCAAATGTCCCAGAGACGTAGAGTGAAATAAATTGCAGTCCTCCTGTTAAAAAAAAAAAAAATCTCAACGTCAAGGAAGGAATGAAAACAGCTCTGGGGCTGGATGCAAATATGTAGCTGGCAGTAAATCTGTACCTTAGGAAAAGTAATTTGGAATATCCAAATCAAGGGCCAGCTCACCAAAACAACCGGACTAAGAGAGGTGATGAAAAGGCAATGAATATAGAAACTAAACTCCAATGGACAAGTCAGAGGATGTGTGTATGTATGAGGGTCTAACTATAAATTATCACAAAATTATCACATAAAGCAACAATAAAAGAAAAAAATTTTTTTTTTTTTGGAGACAGAGTCTCACTCTTTCACCCAGGCTGGAGTGCGGTGGCGCGATCTAGGCTCACTGCAAGCTCTGCCTCCCAGGTTCAAGTGATTCTCCTGCCTCAGCCTCCCTAGTAGCTGGGACTACAGGTGCCCGCCACCACACCCGGCTAACTTTTTGTATTTTTAGTAGAGACAGGGTTTCAGCATGTTAGCCAGGATGGTCTCGATCTCCTGACCTTGTGATCCACCCGTCTCGGCCTCCCAAAGTGCTGGGATTACAGGCGTGAGCCACCGTGCCCGGCCAAGAAAATTATTAATATCACTTTCGTGTCCATAGTTTTAGGAGTTATTACCACAGAACACTATCTTTTTAAAGTTGTTTTAGAAATAAACTTAGATGAGTAAACCTAAAGCTTCAGTACAGTCATGTGTTGCTTAACAATGGGGACACATTCTGAGAAATGCATCATTGGGCATCCTTGTGCAGACATCAGTGTCCTCACATAAACCAAGATGGCAATAGCCTACAACACCCCTAGGCTATATGGGATAGCCTACTGTTCCAAGGCAACAAACTTATACAGCGTGTGACGGTACTGAATGCCGTGGGCAACTGTAATACAATGGTAAGAATCTGTGCATCTAAATATAGAAAAGGTACAAAAAAATATGGTATCATAATCTTTTGGGACCACCATCATATATGCAGTCTGTGGTTGACCGAAACGTCCTTGTGTGACATATGGCTGTATTTGTCTTTGGATTATCTCGTCTGATCCCATTCCATTCCAATTCTGGTTAGTATAATATAGCAAGTATTAATGAAAATGATTCAGAACCAAATATCCAGGCTTTTTATGTGTATTTTTTTGGTATTGAGGGGTTTTGAAATATAGACAGAGGTTTTACAACTTTTAAAAGAAAATTTTTTTAAAACTTTTATTAGCAAATAATTAGCTAAAAACTGAAGCTTCCCTTTCAAACAGGCTATTGTTAATAAACTGTTCCTCTGCCATGTTTTTGTTGGTGAGAGAGGCAGGCAAAAGAGTGGGATGGGGGCAAGGCAGAAGGCCTTCATGCATTTCAATAATTAAGTCTAAACAGTTACCTCTAAGAACTGTTTTAAAAAAAACATTTTTAGTTGATAATAATTTTAGTTAAATGCTTGGGAATTTGATGTCTTTGAGAGGAAGAAAAATGAGGAAGTACCCTCTACACAGTCATAAGAAAAGATCTAGAGAGGCCTGCTCAAATGAGGCAGATTTTTTTTTCTCAATCCAACAACAAACCCATATGATAACTGAAAAGAAAATCCTGAAGAAAATGGTCGCATGTTGCTTTGGAAAAAACAATGTCAAATGACAGAAGATTGCAGAAACAAGAAAGCAGAGTAGCAGTTATTGCTTTAATTTGTGTATTCCTGTTTTAAGGCAAAATGTTAATACGGCCCTCGTCCTCACACCACCCTGCGCTCTTCTCCAAACTCGCCCAACAGCTTGCATTACCATCAAGAAGGTCAGAGAACAGTTCCTCTAATACTCTCCAACTTCATCCATAACTCTTGGAAACTTCAGCCTCCCTTCTCAGCAAGGACAAAAGAAGCAGAGCAAAAAAGGCCAGTTCATTCCATTAATACACAGACCAAATCCTATTACGACAGACAGATTCCTATCTCTACCCTCACCATCTCTTTCCCTTCCCCCAAATAAACAAGTCCTCAAAGCTATCAGCATTCAGCTCATCTCTAGGATGTGAACTACCTTCACTGAGGTTGGATTTGACCAAGACGCCATAGTTTGTGCCAGTTACCACACTGCTAAGCTGTTAAGGATGTTAGGGTTATAGGTGAATATTGAGGCTTTCTTTTTAATCAGCAGCCATTGTGAATTAAGTGTTCCTCTTCAATGATTTTTTTCTGCTGGTGGGGACCTCCACAAAACTTACCCAGCACCCCTAGCAAGACATTCCAGTCATAAGCTGAGGAATATTCTTCTTAGACATAGGGGAGAATAGGCTGATGTCTTAGGATTCATAATCCATTTTCATATAGTTCCGTGACCTTACTTTTGTCCTGACAAAATTATTCTGCCTGAACATCTGAGAGGGATCTAAATCCTAGGGCTTACCCTCTCCTAGGCAATGCTCAGTGAGAAATGCAATGAGGTGGCAGACACCTGTCCTTATGCAACACACAAGGAGCATGTGAACCTTTTAATGGATGACAACTTAATAAACCTATTAAGCCTTTTCTGAGCTTATCCTCACACTTAAGAGGCACCTGGGAATCTGCAGCAAATACACAGGGGTTTCATTTCGGGCTTTGTTTACAACAACCAAGTTAAGCAGTGGTTGGTGTTTAACCATTTCAAGGTTTGGGAAGCCCTGAGATTAACTGAAATTATTTCCAAAAATCTACAAACCCATGAAATGTTTAAAAAAACAACAAAAAAAAAACACTACTTAATCCCTAGAGCAAAACCAAGGACATAAAATGGTCTCTGAAACCAAGTTACTTTATATATTTAACAAAGTACTGGGTGGGCGTGGCATAACTTGATTTTAAACTGGAGATTTGTTTTTTCAAGCAATCTGGTGGTTCTTTAGAATACTGCTTTCCTAGTACCAAATTTGTGCAATATTAAATGATTCCTCCAGTACAATCTATCTTATTTGTTCAAATGACACCATCAGCTATGAAACTATCTGTGAATTTTGCCTCTATTCTCATAGGCATCATATCACTCAGCACTATGTTTTAAAGGAAGAAAGGTAATACTATCTGCTTTCTAATTGATTAATAGTTACAGCTGAGAACAGACCCCATACAATCTCATCCTTAACCATGTGTTTGGGGAAAGAAGAGGAAAATTAAGCTGTGAGATAAAGCCAAAAATCAAGAAAAACTTAAAATACTGATTATGAACTGTCATTCGTCTTCTAAAATTAAATAGTGGTATGGTTGCAAAATTCTGAGTATACTAAAAGCCACTGAATTGTACACATTACAAGAGTGAATCTTATGGTATATAAATGAGTGAATTTTATGGTACGTGAAAGATCTCAGTAAGCCTGTTTTTGAGATATTTAAAAATAAAAATAACTGAGTTAGGAATTCACTTGTCTTTATCATCTTTGTAAACTCATCATCTCGGATGCCAGTCTCATACTAGCTGTGTCAACCCAAATTGAGAGACCAAGATGGGAATCTCAATCAAACAAAGTTTATCAGGCCGAGCTTGAGGATGTGCGCCCAGGAAGCACAGGTTCCAACAGGTTATAACCTGTGTTTCAAAGCAGATTACACGAGGCACGGTATTCATACATTTTTTTAAACAGGGGGATACCTGCAGTACAGTGAAGCAACAATTACACTCTTGTCGATTTGACTGGTATTCAGTGATGTTACACATAAGGTAAAGTAAGTATGTGGCTGAGCGGGTAGGAGAGAAGGATTAATAATTGTGTAGGCATCTCAGGGTCTGGCGGAAGGATGATTGATTCCATCCTGCCTTTGTTCTATATCTGATACACAAGTTTACAACCAGTACCTGTTAGTAAAATATTTAACAAACTCCAGTTACAAATGCACAAAGGGTCAGCCTTAGTTAATAGGCCATGGTTTTATTACCCATATGTCCAAACTGCAGCCATCTTGGCTCACTTTTCTCTTTTCTTCTGACACTATCATCAATCATCTATCTGTCTATCTACAATATGTTTTCTTAAGGTCCCTGAAATAGAAAAAAAAAATCATTTCAAGATGTTTTTCAAGATTTGAGGGGTTACAGTTAAAACATGCCTATTTATGGGAGGTTCTAACACTGATCTAACTGACATAGCTGCCTTTGCACGTACACATTCTTCAGCCAGAACAAATATTTAGAAGAGGCTGTGTCAACCCATTTTTCCTTGTATTTCCACATTTTCCCCCTTTTGATCAAAATTTCTCTTTAGAGAACACAAATGATCATACTTCATGTCCTTTTGTCCTTCTGCATTGGGAAGGCTCATTCCCAGGAAGTCATGTCCCACGTTGGAGGGAAAGAGGTGAGATGAGGTTGATGTAGGCCTGAGGTGGACACTCCAGGGGTATGTAGTAGAATCTGCTGCTACGCTTACAGGATAATTCTATCTACATTGTGCTACCATAATGGGCGGGGAGGGTGTTAATTTTTTTTTTTTATCAAGATAGGGTTTCACTGCATTGCCCACACTGGTCTCAAACTCCTAGCCTCAAGCAGTCTTCCCACCTTGGCCTCCCAAGTGCTAGGATTGAGTGTGAGCCACTGCACCTGACCTATAATTCTGGTTTTAGCAATAGACTTACGTAAGTTGGTTATAAATACCATGAGTAATTTAAGTGATAGTAAGAGAAGTAGGATAGAGACTATATCAAGGTTTGAGATCCTTTTGTCATTTGTAAGTGTGATGACTGGGCATTCACACGTGTGAGATGTGCCTCCCTCAAACCTTGTTATGACGTCGGCACTTTACCCATGAAAAAGGGGTTGAACTGCAGACTGGAAGAAATAGGAAGCCAATTAAATAGATCATTGAGAAGATCAGTAGTTTGTGCCTCTTGTAACCATTTAGCTTGCTTGGAAATTCTTTCTGTGCAAGTCTCTACTTCACCCGAGGTGTCGATGTAAGTGCAACAGGCACTGTGAGCTACTGCACAGACTCCTTGTCCCAGCTACTCGGGAGGCTGAGGTAGGAGGATCACCTGAGCCCAGGGAGGTCAAGGCTGTAGTGAGCCATGATCACACCACCACACTACAACCTAGGCGAAAGAGCAAGACTCTCCCTCAAAAAAAAAAAAAAAAAAGCGCCCTTCAATTTGCCAGCTATTTTGCCAGCTATTTACACTATGTGCCCATCCTTGAGTTGGTGGGTGTGGCCCAATGCCACATACCAAAATGTATCTCTTAACTATTCATTCATAATAGTTTGAATAGGTAAGTTGTTTAAAACATGAGTGAGCCATGGATTGGTTTTACTGCAGGCCTTACAAAGGCCTGCATAAGCATGATATATAACAAATGAGACGTGCTGGCACAATCTGCTTTGCTTTTTCTCCTTTGGACATTCAGTTGCCAGTTATGACAGTAACGGTGGGAGGCCAGGAATGTGCAGGGACCTGGAAAAGATGAGGAATTAAGTTTGTGTTCTAGATAAGTTAGAGAATTTGTCCCTAATTGGCTTACTGATAGATAGACCTGGGGGCGGTGGGGAAGGGTGAGACTTAGGGCTTATTACTAAGCACAGAATGAAAATATGGCCTGGCTTTAGAAGCTGAATTTGAATTTGGAAAGTGACATTTGGAGGGAACTGATGTAAGTATATGGTAACATTTGGAGTGTCAGAAAAATCAATCTCTGGTGCAACAAGTAGCATGTAATGATCTTGAATGGCCCTTGGAAGCTGGTGACAAATCCAGCAATCTGAGAGACTGCCTCCATCTGCCACACTTTAGGAGAGTTTGGCTAATGAACTATTTTTCCATCCCCAGCAGAGACCCTGAAAAGTCAAGTGTATATACATAGGTGGCCATCATGTGTACAGAAACATTAACCAGGTTATATATCCTATAATCTGAGTCAAAGCAGACAAGGCCAATAGTCCCCAAAGTAAATATAATACTCTAAGAATGTTTAGACAGGAGATCATACAGGCCTGGTCTGAAGTCTTAGGTCAATTAGCTGTCCACTCAGATGTTGTCAACTTCTCGTCCTGGTTTCAGGGTTGAAGCTGTTTGGTGAATCAGAGACAGGGATCTTTGGTGGGAGTCATGGTCCATTCAGGAAGTTGTGCCTTTTTAAGGTGAGAGATATGGATCCGTGAGTCTACAACCTTTAACTCTGCTGTGCATGGATTAGTCAACGATACCTGGTAAGGGCCCCTCCACCAAGGCTGGAGGGAGTCCTTTATGAGATGTCTTTTCCAACAGACAAAATTTCCAGGTTGGAGGTCATGACCAGAATCTTCATCTCCCAGGAGCGCACTGTGGGACGTGTCTTGCACTAAGGTCTGGCTTTTCATGAGCTGGTGAACAAGTCCCTTACAACAGTGCAAGATGTCCCCATTCAGTAAATTTGTATCAGTCATCTTGATTCCCATGTGCCTGGGTCTTCCAGTTACAATTTCATGAGAAGAGAGCTGATAAAGGGATGGATCAAAGGTTGAGCAATACCAAGGGGAGTGCCTTCAGCCTAGCAGAGGTGAAAAGCCTCCATAAATTTAGCCAGTTGTGTTTTTATTATTCCATTGGTCCATTCTACCAATCCGGGGACTTAGCCAATTGTGTTATTATTCCATTGTTCCATTCTACCAATCCAGAGGAACTAAGGGTGGTAGGCACAATCAAAATACGGAAATATAGGCCAATTTTTTTTTTTTTTTTTTTTTGAGACTAAGTCTCGCTCTGTCACCTAGGCTGGAGTGCAGTGGCATGATTTTGGCTTACTGCAACCTCCGCCTGCCAGGTTTAAGCGATTCTCCTGCCTCAGCCTCCTGAGTAGCTGGGACTACAGGCGTGCGCCACGATGCCCGGCTAATTTTTGTATTGTTAGTGGAGACAGGATTTCACCATGTTAGCCAGGCTGGTCTTAAACTCCTGACCTCAGGTGATCCGCCCGCCTCGGCCTCCCAAGTGCTGGGATTACAGGCATGAGCCACTGCGCCCAGCCCCAAATTTTACAAATGCTCAATGACCTGGGCAGTAAAATAAGTTCCCCTATTGCTGTGAAGTTCAAAAGGGGACTCCCCATAATGGGGTAATCCCTTAATAAGATTTTACCCACTACCATTGCCCATCAGCAGGATGGGCAATTGCATTACCCAATGCAAAAACATGCATATCATTACCAATACATATTTATATGCTTAAGATGGTGGCAGCTAGATAAAATCAAGCTGCCACATCTCAAAAGGTCTAGGTAGAAAAAGAAAATGATCCTGAGCCCCATAAAGGGGTTTTCCAGGATTGTGTTTTGGGTAGATGGTACACTGTAAATCAATCTTCTGTGCCATGATGACAGTCTCCAATAATATTGTTTATAATAGGATATCATTTTATCTGAATTCCAATGGGTCAAGCTGTAAATGTGTTCCATGAGGGGTATCTGATACCCCACTAGGATAATGGGTTTATCATTAGGTCCATACCATAGTTCAGTTTGCGGGAAAAGTACCCCCCCCTTTTGTTTCCAGGTAGATCTTTCTTCGATGAAAGCTAAGTCTTGGGTTTCCTTTAGCGTAGATTTAACTGTTTAAGTCTCACAGTCATTCCAAGGATCGGACTGGTGTCTCAAATGCAGCACTCTTAGCTACTGCATCAGCAAAGTGATTACCTTGACTCTGTGTTGTGTTTAATTCAGAGCAGCCTGGAACCTTTATAATTGCCAAAAGCGAGATCCAAGACTAGTCCATTTTTTTACGGGTTGCCCTGAGAAGGTTAAATACCCTCTCTCTTTCCATAGCATTCCAAAGTCATGAGCACCATCAGATGCATAGGGGCATAATTTTTGCTACTTTATTCTTTGCTAGTTAACAAGTTTGAGTCAGGGCAATCAGTTCAGCCAGTTGGGCTGACTTAGCCTGAAGAAGACCAGCTTCAATGACCATGGCACATCCTGCTTTAACCTTACCACCTTCTCCCCTCAAGTAAGATACATCTGTAAACCATTCTGTCTTAGCATTATCTAGTGGTGATTCTTGTAGGTCTGTCCTTGGGGTAAAAAGTTGGGTGTGTCATCAGGATGAAGTAATGAGAGGTCTTATCAGAAGACTGGCCAGGCCTGGTGCAGTGGCTCATGCCTATAATCCTAGCACTTTGTGGTCTGCTAAATTCATATTTCAGTATTTGGGAAAAGTAAGTGGGGCACTGTATATCCCTGTAACATCACAGTCCAAGTATACCGTCATTCTCTCCAGGTAGAGGCAAACAAATACTAACTACCTGGATGTATAGGGATGCTTAAAAAGGCACTAGAGATCCACAAGTGCCACTCAAGGTGGGCAGACCGCTTGAGCCCAGGAGTTTGAGACCAGCCTGGGCAACATGGTAAGCCCTGTCTCTACAAAAAATATAAAAATTAGCCAGGTGCAGTGGTGCAAGCCTGTAGTCCCAGCTACTCGGGAGGCTGAGGCAGGCAGATTAACTGAGCCCAGGAGGTCAAGGCAGCAGTGAGCTGTGAACACACCACTGCAGTCCAGCCTGGGTGACAGAGCAAGACCCTGTCTAAAAAAGAGAGAGAGAGAGAGAGTGGCAAGGTTAGGATTACTGCAACGAGATGGTAACATTAGAGGATAATAAAATTAAGACCTAATAGGAAGTTAATCTATTGAAAGACAAGTGTTGAGTTATGATGGGAATTCAGAAGTAGCTCAACTGAATACGGAATGAAGGCAGTAAGGGAGAGGACCCCATGACTATCTCTCCAACAGTTTTATATAGAAGGGCTATAGCTGATATTGCCCTCATACAAGGGGGCCATCCTCGAGTCATTGGATCTAACTGCTGACTATAATAGCCTATAGGTCTGAGTCAACATACCAAATGTGTTCCCCCCATCTTCATGAACAGAAAGAGAGAAAGTTCATAGTTTGGGTGTCTTATTGCTGGGGCATTTATTAACCTTTTAAAAAAAAACAACAACAACAGACTCTTGCTCTGTCACTTAGGCTGGAATGCAGTCGGCTCACTGCAACCTCTGCCTCCCAAGTTCAAGCGATTCTCCTGCCTCAGCCTCCCATGTAACTGGGACTACAGGCATTTTGCCACCACATCTGGCTAATTTTTGTATTTTTAGTAGAGACACGGTTTCACCATGTTGCCCGTGCTGGTCTTGAACGCCTAGCCACAAGTATCTGCCCACCTCAGCTTCTCAAAGTGCTGGGATTACAGGCGTGAACCACCGCGCCTGGCCTACTAATCTTTCTTTAATTTGTTGCACAGCTGGCTGTCCCTCACGAGTCCACATGATGGGATCAGGCTGGTCATTCTTTAAACAGGTACAAAAGGGTTGAGTCACACAATAAAAATTTAGTATCCAGCTTCCACAACAGCAGGCCAACTCCAAGAACCCTCTAAGCTATTTTTTAGTAGGAAGCATCAAAAAAGCTAAGATTCCTTTGATTCTATCAGGATTGATGCTCAATCCTTTGGCTGACATAACATGTGCCACATGTTTGACTTGAGAAAGACAAAATTAAAGTTTACCCTTAATGTAATGGTCAATTGTTGAAGTAAGTACAAGTTTTCTTCTTCAGAGGAAGAAAGTGTGTCAGAGCAAAGGAGGAGGTATGCATACACTGGATGAGGGATGAGGATCCCCTGAGAGAAGTCCGAGTCTGCTAAATTCATATTTCAGTATTTGGGAAAAGTAAGTGGGGCGCTGTATATCCCTGTGACATCACAGTCCAAGTATACCGTCATTCTCTCCAGGAAAAGGCAAACAAATACTGACTACCTAGATGTATAGGGATGCTTTAAAAAGGCACTACAGAGATCCGCAACTGAAAAATATCGTCAGGGACAGGCACAGTGGCTCACACCTATAATCCCAGCACTTTGGGAGGCTGAGGCGGGTGGATCACTTGAGGTCAGGAGTTCGAGACCAGCCTGGCCAACATCATGAAACCCCGTCTCTACTAAAAATACAAAAATAAGCCAGGTGTGGTGGTACACATCTGTAATCCTAGCTACCTGGCAGGCTGAGGCAGGAGAATCACTTGATCCCAGGAGGTGGAGGCTGCAGTGAGCTGAGATTGTGCCACTGTACTCCAGCCTAGGTGACAGAGTGAGATTCTGTCTCAAAAAAAAAAAAAAAAAAAAAAAGAACACTATCATCCTTGATATTTGGTATGGCAGACAGGTGTATGAAGGTTAAGAAGCACTGGATATCTAGGTATTATAATACTGTCTACAGCCCGTAAGTTTTGTACAAATCTCCATCCCCTTCCCATTTGGTTCCTTGACAAGGAAAATGGGGGTGTTGCAGGGACTGATGCAGGGAATAATAAAACCTCTCTCAAGATAATCTCATGATTGGGGCAACTCCATCTATGGCTTCTTGCCATAGTGGCTATTATTTTACGTTAAGCAAGGGATTCTTAGTGTTAATCTCAACCTTTATTGGAGTAGCTGAGAGTATCTTTCCTATGCCTATGTTAGACTGGGACCACAGCAGGTAAGAAATAGTTTCAAGTAAAAGCTTAGCTTCTGGCATTAGTAGAAAAGTTGAAGTTTAAAAGGAGCCTTATGGTTTCCTTCCCTTTATTATATTTCATTTTGTTTTCTCATTTTCCCAATCACATGAAGGTGTCTTTACACCACTAACATCAACTTGTGATTTTTTTTTTTTTTTTTTTGAGACGGAGTCTCACTCTGTCGCCCAGGCTGGAGTGCAATGGTGTGATCTCGGCTCACCGCAACCTCCGCCTCCCAGGTTCAAGCAATTCTCCTGCCTAAGCCTCCGGAGTAGCTGGGATCACAGGAATGCACCACCACGCTCGGCTAATTTTGTATTTTCTTAGTAGAGATGGGGTTTTTCCATGTTGGTCAGGCTGGTCTCAACCTCCCGAGCTCAGGTGATCCACCTGCCTCAGCCTACCAAAGTGCTGGGATTACAAGCGTGAGCCACCGTGCCCGGCCAACTTGTGATATATTATGAGGGCATTTTTTGGTTTGCTTTCCCCAATCCCATGATTTCAGTTCCAGCAACATTTCCCACTTTAAGGAAAAAGAGATGAGCATTATGGATGTCGTGGAAATTTCAATCCAGAAGGTTAAACAGGTACTTCTGGGCATATCAGGAAAACATGGGATTGGCTAAGGGTATCACATTCACAGCCCTTGGGAGGAAGCCAAACCCAATGAACCACTAAAGCAAAGATGTGAACTTAAAGCAAGGGATGGGTTTATTAGGTATACCCACCATGTTAACTTTTTCATTCCTCTGAGAAATGGGGTTTTCAAGTAAGGTGGAATTTATAACTGATACAGGAGCTCCTGTGCCTACTATTGTGTTAATTTCTCCCAAAGAGTGAGTTAAAGCAGCATATTGGGAGAAATGAAAACCCCCTATTTCCTCAGAGGAGTCCTAGTTTTCCAGTTTATCATCCTGTTTCCATTTCAATGTCCTGCAATTCCTTTTAAAATGCCTAGTTTCTTGTAGTAGTGACAGACAAGGGGAGAAGAGTTCTTAGGACCAAGACTTCCTAGCCTGGGAGTTTTAAGAGGTTAAGTGTTACCATTGTTAAGTGTACAGCCTTTTGATTTTCCTTTTTCATCATTGTGCAGGACAACTGGTCAGCCAGTTGACCAGTCATTAGTTCTGGCCATCACCTAGTCAGTCATGTGACATTTGACAAGAGTGGGTAGTGCATCACCCAAATTGTTTGGGAAATTTTAATAATATGTCATTTTTATTGTTTTCAAAGTTGTCCATTGACATCTGCAATATTGTTTTCATGTTTTATCAAAGTGGGTAAAAAAATCTACAACAGGCCCATCTGGATTCTGGCAGCATCGCTGGATTTTAATCTAATCTACGATCTTTTTTTTTTTTTTTTTCCTGAGAGAGTCTCACTCTGTCGCCAGGCTGGAGTGCAGTGGTACAATCTCCGCTCATTGCAACCTCCGCCTCTGAGGTTCAAGCAATTCTCCTGCCTCAGCCTCCTGAGGAACTAAGATTACAGGTGTGTGCCACCACGACTGGCTGATTTTTGTATTTTTAGTAGAGATGGGGTTTCACCAGTTGGCCAGGCTGGCCTCGAACTCCTGACCTCATGATCCACCCGCCTTGGCCTCCCAAAGTGTCCGGCCGTAATCTATGATCTTTTGAAAAAAACAAGGGAATGGCATTTAACAGAGAAGCTGCTCATACCCACGCGTCTTTGAGCCATCTTCTGAAAGCTGGGGAGTTGGCTGTGGCAGAGGTCATACTGGATTTTCAGGAACAAGATCTGTTAGGGGATCCAACCACACTGTGCTTTTTCTAGCTATTCCTTAGCTTAAGCAGCTGAAACCAGCATGTAGACAAGCCGATAAATGTCAGAATGACCTGGGTCATAGATTTTAATTGTGAGTTCAAATTCTTTGGTAAAGCAAATCCGATCTTCATAAGGGTCAGGAAATTCCTTAACTATGGCCCATAATTTGGCCTTCGACTAGGGTTGATAGAGAATCAGGACTCCAGGCAGGCCGGGCACACACGCTGCTGGTACTGGAAGTGAACCACTGGGACCGAGCATGAGCAAGCCAGTGAGTGGGTCCCGCAGCCCCCTGGACCCAGGGCCAAGCATGGCGGCTGCCAAGGTGGCTTTAACTGAGAGAGCAGATCCAACTGAGCTTATAACAATATTTTTGAAGTATGCAAGCATTGAGAAAAATGGTGAATTTTTCATGTCTCCCAGTGACTTTATCACTCCATACTTGAACATTTCTGGAGAAAGCCAGCCTAACCCAAAGACTGTGGAACTTTTAAGTGGGGTGGTGGGTCAGACCAAAGATGGGAGGAATGTTGTCCCAGCGTTGATGATGCTAAGTTTGATCACTTGATGAAGGTGGCATCCACCAGCTATTTCCATTTTAATGACTAGTATCTTTTCAAGAATGTGTGGCCTTTTGATTGGTCCTGGGTGCCCCTGATACTTTGTTTATGGTAGCCTTTCAGCTAGCTGTTTGACAAAGCTGGCAAAGGAGAAGTAACTTTTGATCAGAAAGAGGATGGTACCAGCAGTCTACAGGTGTCATCCCAGTCACTGTTCCCTGGTCCCAATGGTAACAACTGACATTTATCACCATCAATTGGTTTTTCCTGTTTTTAAACTTAATTGGAACTATACAGAATGTACTCTTTCAGTCTGGCTTCTTTTGTTCAACATTTGTGAGATTTATCCATGCTGTATTTTTTATTTTTCTTCACTGTATAGAATTCCGTTGTGTGACAGCATATCCATTCTAGGGTCGATAGACATTTTGGGACATTTTCAGTTTTGGCTACTACAAGTAATGTGTTTTCAACATTGTTTTACGTATTTTGTGTGTGTGTGTGTGTGAGTGTGTGTATTTCTAGGAATAGAACTGCTGGGTCATAGAAAATGTGTAAATTTACCTTCAGTAGATCTTGCTAAACTGTTTCCTAAAATGATGGTACCAGTTAACACTCATACCATCATTGTATGAAGGCTCCATTTATTTCAGATATTTGCCAACACTTGGTATCAGTCATTTGTTATTTCAGTGGTATCTCAGTGTGGTTTTGATAAGCATTTCCCTGATTCCAAATGGGTCCTAGAACTTATTGGCCATTTAGGTATCCTCTTCAGTCATGTGCTTATCTTCTGGATACAAGACCTGTGGTGGTTATATGTTTCATAGATGTCTTTACTCTGTTCACTGTTACTCATTTAACTGAGTCTTGAGGAACTTAAGTTCCTAATTTTAATGTAGTACAAATTATCAGCATTTTCTTTTGTAGCTAGCTCTTTTTGCGTCCTGATTAAGAAATCTTTGCTTTCCTCCAGGTCGGGAAAATAATCTCCATTATTATCTTCCAGAAGTTTGTTTTCCTTTCAAATTTAGATTTTAATTGTTCTAGAATTTGTGATATTTTTACATGGCATTAAAGGTAAGGGTCAAAGATTCTTCCCTGGCCCTCTTCCCCATGGATATGTAGATCACCCAGCACCATTTAATGAAAAGATCACTCTTTTCTTTTTTTTTGAGACGCAGTTTTGCTCTCGTTGCCCAGGCTGGAGTGCAATGGCACGATCTCGGCTCACTGCAACCTCCACCTCCTGGGTTCAGGCGATTCTCCTGCCTCAGCCTCCCAAGTAGCTGAGATTACAGGTACCCGCCACCACGCCCAGCTATTTTTTTTTTGTATTTTTAGTAGAGACGGTTTCACCATATTGGCCAGGCTGGTCTCGAACTCCTGACCTCAGGTGATCCACCTGCCTCGGCCTCCCGAAGTGCTGGGATTACAGGTGTGAGCCACCCCATGCAGCCAAGATCACTCTTTTCTTTATTGCACTGCAGTGGTACTGCTGTCATAAATTCAATATGGGGCTGTATCTGAATGCTCTATTCTTTTCATATAATTGTATATTATCCACTAATACTATCTTAATTACTACAGCTTTATAAGTCATACCTGATAAGTCTTTCAACTTTATTCTTTAAGATTATCTTGGCTATTCTTGGCCCTATTCATTATCAAAACAATTTCAGAATAAGTTGTTAATTTCCACAAACATCCTGCTGGGATTCTGAATGCACTGAATATGTGTAATATCTGGGTGTATATGTGTAATTAAATGTTTTTTTGTTTGTTTGTTTGTTTTTTCTGAGACGGAGTTTCGCTCTTGTTGCCCAGGCTGGAGTGCAATGGCACGATCTCGGCTCACTGCAACCTCCACCTCCTGGGTTCAAGCGATTCTCCTGCCTCAGCCTCCCAAGTAGCTGGGATTACAGGTGCCCACCACCTCGCCCGGCTAATTTTTTGTATTTTTAGTAGAGATGGGGTTTCACCATAATGACCAGGCTAGGCTGGTCTCGAACTCCTGACCTCAGATGATCCACCCTCCTCAGCCTCCCAAAGTGCTGGGATTACAGGCGTGAGCCACCACGCCCGGCCAATTAAATGTTTTAATCCCTTAAAAAAAAGAGAAAGAGAATTAGGAATCCCCCACCTATCATAGGCTGTTCCCAGAATGAGGCAACCACAGGAAGCATTCCTGTGGAGTTCCTGTCCGTCACTTCTGAACAAGAGGTTGCTGCCAGGGTAGGTGGAAGGACAACAAGAGCAGGGGCCTTTGGAGCCGTGTTTCCTGTCACAGTCTAACAAGTGGCAGACAAGGAGAAAGAGATGGCAGAAGAAGAAAAATCAGATCCAGCCTGGAGAGTTAGAAAGATGAAGATAGAGTGGCAGGGCACAGTGGCTCACGCCTGTAATCCCAGCAGTTTAGGAGGCGAGGCGGGCGGATCACGAGGTCACAAGATTGAGACCATCCTGCCTAACACGGTGAAACCCTGTCTCTACTAAAAATACAAAAAAAAATAGCCGGGCGTGGTGGCGGGCGCCTGTAATCCCAGCCACTCTGAAGGCTGAGGCAGAAGAATGGCGCGAACCCGGGAGGCGGAGTTTGCAGTGAGCCGAGATCGCGCCATTGCACTCCAGCCTGGGCAACAGAGCGAGACTCCGTCTCAAAAAAAAAAGAAAGATGAAGATAGAGTGAAGGTGTAGGTGGTGAAGGAGGCCCAAAGAGAGGTACTTCTGAAGATTTTTTTTTTTTAATAGGAGAGTATATTTGAGAGCTATCTGTTAACACCTCTAAGTTGTTTATCAGCATTCTATAAGGAAGAAAGATCATCCTACCCACTTTTGCTACTTTCAAGATACCACTGGAAGTAGTTTCCCCATTCTGGTTGCTTAATTTTTGCACTAGCACCTTCCATCCTGGTCTGCATATATCAAAGGATCTGCATTTAGGCCATTGTGATGTGGAGTCATTCTTCAGTCATCCTGGTCCATTTGTTTAAGTAATTACACAATGAGGCACCCCAAGTACTGTATATTAACCCAGCTGGGGTTTCTAAAGGTGGAATCAGATGTTCTGCAGTTGCAGGGGATTTAGTCGATTTAGAGGATTTGTTCTCCATAATTTTTAATACCTTCTCATTAGATTGACTAAGTCAGGAGGTGTTCTGAATCTGAATGTGCTGCTTGCAAACACAAAGCTTGAGGATGCGCACCCAGGAAGCACAAGTTCCAGTAGCTTATTACCTGTGCTCTGAAGTAGACTGCATGAGGCACAGTCTTTATATATTTTTTAAACAGGAAAATATGTGCGGTATGGTGAAGCAATAGTTGAGAATTTGGTTCATATTCAGTGATGTTATGCCTAAAGTCAAGTAAATATGTGGTTGAGTGGGTAGAAGAGAAAAGTTAATAATTGTGTAGGCACCTTAGGGTCTGGTGGAAGGATGATTGATTCCATCCTGCCTTTGTTCTGTATCTGATAAACAAGTTTACAACCAGTATCTGTCAGTAAAATATTTAACAAACTCCAGTTACAAACCCAAGGGGTCAGCTTTAGTTTGTAGGCAGTGGTTTAATTATGCATATGTCCAAACTGCAGCCATCTTGGACCAGTTTTATCTTTTCTTCTGACACCATCTATCATCATCTATCTGTCTACAGTATGCTGTCTGAAGTTTCTTCAAATAGGACAAACATTTTGAGAAGTTCCTCAGGATTTGAAAGGTTACAGTTAAAACATGCCTATTTATGGGAGTTTGTAACGCTTATCTCTGACATAGCTGTTTTTGCAATATACACACATTCCTGGGCCAGAAAGAAATTTAGAGGAGGACTGTGTTGATCAGTTTTTTCTTTTATTTGCTTTCACAGGTGTAATAAATGTGTTGCTTAAATTTTAAGTTGTCATTTGTATAGCACTTTACATTTTATAAAGCACTTTCACTGGCATTCTTTCTTTGACTACTATTAGCCAAAAACCCAAAAATTGTTTTAATACTGTAACAGTTAAAAACAATCAACCATGGCCGGGCGTGGTGGCTCAAGCCTATAATCCCAGCACTTTGGGATGCCAAGGTGGGTGGATCACCTGAGGTCAGGAGTTTGAGACCAGCCTGACCAACATGACGCAACCCTGTCTCTACTAAATATAAAAAAATTTGCCAGGCGTAGTAGTGGCAGACGCCTGTAAATCTCAGCTACTCAGGAGGCTGAGGCAGCAGAATTGCTTGAACCCGGGAGGCAGAGTATGCAGTGAGCCGAGATTGTGCCACTGCACTCCAGCCTTGGGGACAAGAGCAAAAATTCATCTCAAAAATAAAAAATAAAAAAAAAACCATGCCATAATTATAGCTCTGACCAAATAAACTGAATATCCCAAAGTTAAAAAAGATTAAAGGTAATAGCTAAGTCAGCAAAAGCAATTTAAAAAGATAACTAATTATATGGACAATATATATAAACAAAAAAATAAAGTTTTAAAACACAACAATCAATTCTAAACATCTGTTTTGGCTGATTTGTAGGGTTTTCTTCTACTTTAAAGCTGTGGGTTTCATATAAATTTAATGATCTTAATGAATCTAACTTAATGAATCTAACCTTGGTGCTGATGAGTCAAGAAAGGGATGAGATAACCACAATATATCAAAGACACAAAAGGGACAATTCTAATCCCATCTAATGAAATTGGGAAGCCAAAGATCAAGAATAACGTCTAATTTTACATCTAATTAAACACATAAGTTTACTGAATATAATAATATACATAGGAAAGAAAAAGAGTTTCACAGCGATAGTTTATATTAAAGACGCTATTTAAGAAAAGTTTTCTGATAAATAAGATTAAAGATTATCTCTTATAAATCTCAGCAATACTAAATACTTGTTCATTTTAAGCTCCAACCAGGAAACAGAATGAAAAATACTGAAATGCAAATTTTAGAGCTTTAGTACCCTTTTTAATATGGAATAGGAGACAGAGAAAAGGTGATGAATTTAATTCAACTATTTTCTTGTCTTTTTAAATCTTTATAAGGGTGTTAACTCACATTTAAGGATATGGAGAGGGTTCTTATTACGATGAATTTAACATATGTTAAGTTCACCTTAGTTGGCATGCATGCTTTGAAGGACATCATTATTTACTCTAACTTCCCCAATTCCACTTTCTAGATTCCTTCTTCTGGCTTTTTTATATATTCAGAAGTAAAGCGTTTTTTAATATTCAAAAGTACCTTTCAAAACTCAGTAATACCACTGGGTGGACTAGATGGAAGAAAATTGAGAGCAATAGTCAAACGTGGTAAATAACAGTTAACTTCACAACTGTCCAAGTCATCTTGGGAACTGAAATTCTGATATGCACAAATTAGGGGAACAACCTCCCAAATGAAACTATCCTTAAGTTTCCAATAAACCAAAACCCTAGCTTCTAATTATCATTTTTTTCTTTCTAAAAATCAACTGGCCTAAGTCTTTAAAAACAAAAAAAAAACACAAGATAGTTGAAGTGACTTAAATGTCAACGAATTTTCAGACTGGTTAAATTATGGTTGAAACACCACAGCACGCTGTTTCAACCTTTAAAGCAAGTTGAACAGTAGTAATACAGTATAATCTCACAGGATGTTTTTAAAATGAGACTGTAACTACACAAACTTCTTTTTAAATTGGTTCTTAAAAATAGTAAATAGTGGTTGCCTCTGAGGAGTACAAGCATAAAAGAAGCTTACTTTCACTTTACTACCTCCTGCTTTTTTTTTTTTAACCAAGAGCATCACTCTCCAATAACCTTGGTTATCAAGACACACCTTAAGAGTAATCTAAAAAAGCACAGAGAGCTTAAATAAACTTCCTCAAAGACATACAGATGGAGAGATACAAATTAGAAAATACACTCCATGGGAGAGACTACGAAATAGACTGGTAAGATCTAAATACACACAGAGCAGAATGGGAAGGAAACTGCAGACAGGAGACAAGCGAAAGATTTGTAAAGTGGGAAGGAAGCAGCAGTGAACAAAGACAAAAAGAACTAAGCAACCAAAGACAACTTTGAAGTGAAGGAGATGCATTTCTTTAGAGCCAAACTAGAAATCATGATGATGGGAAAGGAAAAGAAATAACACGAAAAAATACTCGCGATCACAAACTGTGGGGATACTTGAGTTCCTGTAATTGGTAATGCCACCACTGACACCATTTTAGTCAATCATATGCTATCATTAATCACATTTAAGTACAGCATCCAGTAAACACTAACAGTGTAACTGGAGCAACACTTTTCACAAACGGTCAACAGGACTAAATGCTTTGTATTCTCCCGCGGCTAGGCTATTTGGCTGCAGTATTCCCCAATAATGAGACATGTTTCATCTGCAGTTAAGGAAACCCATGGAGCAGTAAGACATTATTTCCTCTTACCTGCTTCTAGATAGCAGCCTACATCTCAGCAAAATTCCTGAATTTAGCTAACTTTAAGGGATAAATGTAAATCTGTCTAGAATAAAACTGAGAAAGGGGTAGCAGACCCCACTTGTTTGCCAACAGCCTCTTCAAACATGTGCCCTGTCTCTGAGAAATTATATGGTAAAGCATTTATAACTGTGGCTGTCTATGGAATCCACACTTGGCAGAAGAGCCTAAAACTCATCCTATATAGGAAAGAGGTCAAACTCAGAAATAAACAAGTCTTCAACTGAAATGGCATAGGTTAAAAATAAAATTACAAATTCAAGTCTCTGGGCTTTAGATAGTGTAAAACACCAGGCCCCTCCAATTTTGGTAGAGCGAAAAAAAAAAAAAGAGAAACAAAACTAGGTCTCCCAATTCTAGATTAAGAGGAATTCCAGTACATGAAAAAAAAAACTGAAAGTGTCAGAAAGAATATTTATTTGCTTTTAATGGATGATTATGAGTTAGAAAATATAACCATACTTGGGTCTGCAATGAGTCAATTTGGAGTATATTTCTGCTTCTGTCTTTACAACTAAATAGGAAGTCACTCCTAATTTTATTTGCCCTTCTGTAACATTGGGAAATTCTGTTTATTTCCTTGAATTTATAAGAGTTGCACATTACAGAAAAATAAATGCTATCTATCCCAAGATATATACAACAAATTTAACTGAAGGTAAAATTCTGATTACTAAAGATTTTCTTTTAAGCCCAGGTCTGTGGGAAAAGAGGAACTTAGCCTTTTCAGGGAGACTTTAAGGTCATGAAAAGCCCCATATACTCCTCTATGAAGCTGTTCTCCCATTTTCAAACTTGAGAAAAATGTTAAGAAAATGGATACATGATAGTATACACACCTGATTTGACCCAAACCTCAGGAAAGTTCCTTAACCTCACTAATCCTGTTTCCTCATCTATAAAATAATGACAGGCCGGGCACAGTGGCTCACGCCTGTAATCCCAGCACTATGGGAGGCAGAGGCAGGTGGATCACCTGGTCAGGAGTTCGAGACCAGTCTGGCTAACATGGTGAAACACCGTTTCTACTAAAAATACAAAAAATTAGCCCAGCCTGGTGGCGTGCGCCTGTAATCCCAGCTACTCAGGAGGCTGAGGCAGGAGAATTGCCTGAACCCAGAGGCAGAGGTTGCAGTGAGCCAAGATCGCACCACTGAACTCCAGTTTAGGCAACAAGAGCAAAGCTCAGTCTCAAAATAATAATGACAAATCCAAATCTCCTGAATAGTATCTGTAAAGCATCAACACAACATCAACACAAAGATCGGCACAAGGTATGCACTCAGCTCTGACAATTCTTTTTACTCACCAATCTTTCTTCTTTCTCTCTTTTTTTCCTCTTACATTTCAGGTATCATTTTGCTTTCTGTCTTTGGGCAATCCACTCGCAGGAAGTTACTAACCAACCTTATTGGTAATACCTATTATTCATTCCCTGGTCCAATCTCTCCCCTTAGCTCTAGGATAAATATGGCCAACTGACCACCAATCCATTCCAATCTTTAAATACCCTGAGAATTGATTATATAATCTTCCCTCCAAATCTGCTCTTCCTCTATTTACCTATCTTGGTTGTCATCCACAGTCACACAAAAACAACTTGGAAGCCAACTGAGCTCTTCCTTCACCCTCTGCATGGCCCTCCATCAAATTTATTGTGAAGTCCTTAGAAATTCTGTTTCTTCCTTCACTTCCATCCCCACTGCCTGTTTGTTCCTCATCATGGTGCATGAACTCCTGTCAGAACCTTGTAACTGACTTCCCTACATCCTTTAAACATGTGATATCTTCCTAAAGTTCAACTACTAATCTTCCCTTCCAAGGTACCAACACTGGCTTCATGATAGTATCTAAACTCCTTGGCAAGGAATTCAAAGCTTTTCAGGATCTGCTCCTGCCTACCAGCTGCTCCCAACTTGGAATTCTGATATTCTAGGAGTGTCAAACAAACTTTAATAACTAGCCACCCTCTACTCAGGCTGTTATTTCTGCCTGAGACGGCTTACCCTCTATCCCCTTGACCTGGGAAATTCTCTTAAGAATTACTTATTTTACAAAACCCTTCCATACCTTTATTAGAACACCTACCACATAAGATTTCACTTCTTGTTTACTGCATTATCTCCTCTACTCAATAGTAAACCGCTGTAGAGCAGAAACTAAGTCTTGTATTACAACCAGGTGCTGGCTGTACATAGTACACAGAAACGGGTAGAATTTGCTAACTACTCAAAGAGTGGGGCAGCCAAGATTAATATAAACAGTATATTTAAGGGCATGGAATGGGAAATGGTGTCTACAATAAAGACGTGAATTTTAAAAACTAATGTTTTGAAAGGAGTCATTGTTTGCACTATTGATCATAGAAATATTTTTAATGTTTTTAAAAAGGAGTCTTTTTTTAACATTTGGTCTATAGACTTTTGCAGGAAAAAAAACCTGAGGTTTTAAAAGCTATAGGAAAAAATGTTTCTTGCTTATTTCAAGCAGGAGCAGGGGGAAGGAAATTAGACTAGTGTGGGGAGAAATGAGAAATGAGAGCTACTTCAACTCAGCACAGTTAACATTTACCAAATTAAAATAACAGTAAGCCAAACCAAACTTATAATAGGTGGAAAACAACTAAATACAAAGCTAGAAATAAATTCTTTTAGTTCAACTGTAACTTTCATACTTGAATATGTAACAGCGGTGTACCTGTGACATTAGTATTTCTGAGGCAAAGAGAAAACCTCCCTACCTTGAAAACAAACTCCCTTTTTGGACTAGATGACATTTCCAGATTATTTCCATAATACAGAAAAATCCTAGTTGCAGATTCAATAAAAAACTGGAGAAACAAAAGACAACAAAAAAGTCTCAATTTATAACACCCCAAAATCAAAACTTAAGTGTGGGAAATACAAGACAATCTTGTGGACAAGAGAAATCAGGAAGAAAGAAAAATGACATTTTCCAGGTTTCCGCAGGACTTTCTGATGTAAAATGGTTGAATCAGAATTGAAAAGACAACCAAGAGTCAAGGGCAGTGTCTTCCCAGAACTGCTTTCTTAAGGTAAGGGAGGGGACCAAAGACACTCATTCTTTCCACTAAAAATTTACTTAATGTTTCCCCAGAAACGATAACTGACACAGGCCTCAGTTTTATCTTCTGTAAAATGTCTACTTCCCAGTGTTGTGAGGACAACACAGCTAATATTTATCAATCATGTCACTGGCTTAATTACAACTTATTTAAAATAGGTATTACTACCATTTTACAGATGAAAAAAACTGGATCACAAAGTGACTATAAGATGATGACAGCTTTGAAACCCAAGCATTACTAACCCAGAAACCTCTGAACAGCAAAACTTCGTGCCTCAATACATGTGTTCCTTTTCTGCTCAACCAATTATATTCCTACCATCTCTTAAGAAAAAACGAAAATGACATACTTTTAAAGCAACCTACTATGTGCCTGGCATGGTAAATTGATTAATTTATCCTCATAAGAGCCCTGTATAGTTGGTTTAGATTTAAAAGTTTATGCTTTCCCCAGTGAAAAACTTTTATTTTACATGTAAAATGGTTCTTAAATTGCTTCTCTGACATAAATATGTCTGAGTTTGAGCCCTATGAGTCAGGATTTCCCAGGACTTGATAACCACTCTGGGGGAAAAAAAAAAAAATTGACCATTCAGGTTCCAGATATACAGAATTAAGAATACTGTGCAAGGACAGACAGACTTGGGGCCTGCTGTCCACCAGTGATCTAGAATATTCTACCAATTGAACTTCGTATCTCCAACCTCCCACAAAAGCAATACAAAGAGAAGGCAGTAGAGACCTTGTCTGTGGGTCTTTCCCACCCTGAATTCATTCACATTGATAATCCAAATCTCTGTTTTACATCATCTAATTAGTAAAACAAAAACCATTAAGCTCTGTATGTAGTATATGAAATCTGCTAGGAAATGGAAATTCTAGCCATAACTTAGCTATGAAATACTAATTAAGAAAAACAACTCAAACAATCTCAGCGTATTTGCAAAGCACCTCATATGCATTTTAAATACAGGACCCAGAGAAATAGCTGCGAAAGGAAAGCCAAAGTTATTAAATCCAAAGTTTTTCATTTTCTTGACATGCTCTTTCTATTTAATACAGAAATGTACTAATATAGGTTGCCTTTTGGTATTGTAATTTGGTCAACCAAAACTTGGGAAAAATAGGTCCAAAGTTTTTCATTTTCCTGACATGCTCTTTCTATTTACTACAGAAATGTACTAATATAGGTTGCCTTTTGGTATTGTAATTTGGTCAACCAAAACTTGGGAAAAATAGGTTTATTAATAACAAAATAATGAAAAAAAATGGATTTCAACTAGTATCGATTTTTAGGTGTGTGGGGGCAGGGGCATTCAAGGGTATTATTTCCTAGTAATGATCACTTAGATTCTAGGCCTTACACATGATTCAAATGCAGGAGAAATCAGGAAAGAAGCAACAGATATGGTGGTGGGTATCGGATGTCTAGACTACAGGCAAACCCCAAATACCAAAGAAGCATCCATGTGTCAAACCAGCATAATTTTTGAGCTATGCCTGGGGCCACATACAAAAAAAGAAAAGGTTAGCTTGAAAAGAAAAATCTAGGAGAGGTAACCAGAAGGTCAACCACAGTTCACGGGATCTGGGAAGAAGCTAGCCGTTACCCTGTGTCATCTTCCTGAGCAGCTTCCTCCCCAGCCAGCTCCCCAGCCTCCTTACAATGTTTCCAAAAGGCCCAACTCCCTAAACATTTGCTTCTTCAAGGTCATCCTAAGGCACTGAATAACCACCAAACACTGAGTCACGCATACCTTTCGCCTAAAAAAGATCCCCCTTCCCAAAATCATTATATAAATACTTTAAATGCCATGAGGGTTTTCTCCGAAACTCCACCAGAAACAAACTCCCAGACTTTTAGATTGGGCAACTAAATGTGTTCAATTTTGCGACATAAAATTTTAAAAGGCTTTTCAAGTCTGGCAAATTCCAGTTCAAAAACAGGTGCTTTCAGCGTACTCTGAATAACAAGGTCAAATTCATTTTTAAATTATTAAAAGAAAAAGAAAAGCTTTTCTTAACCCTCCTTAGGACAACTTAAGAAGGGGGAGAAAGAATTGCTGGGGTAAAACTGTCTCGGATAGGGTCCCTGTTTAACTCAAGAGTAAATCCTAATCTTCCGAGTGCCTGAAGTAATGGAAGGTTACAGGAAGAAAATAAAAACAAAGAAACTGACTAGGGTCATAGTTACCAGAACAAACTGCACCGCCCTACCACCTCAAGAAACCAACTCCCCCTACACCAAAACAAACCTTGCCCTTCCCCGCTCCCCCCACCCCCTAGAAACACACAAAGAAACTGGCCGCACGCACAATTCGCCCACAGTCCTCACTTCCCTTAGTAGGGCAACAGGGAGCCCCGGAACTTCCCCACGGTGGTTTATCGGGCGTCGTCGGGGCTGGGTCCCCTGGACTTGCGGGCCACAGCTCGGCTGGGGAGGAGGTGCTCGCCGCCCTCACCCGTTTCTCTGAAAGCAGTAAAATGCCTCCCCGCTCCTCCCAGGGCCCTCGGGTCCCCACCTTCCGTAAATCGTGCTTCCCCCTCGGGCACTCCGGTGACTGCCGAGAGAGACGCCGAGCCAGCAAGTAAGAATGCTCCCTGGTGGATTTGTTGGTAAATAAGACATCTCGCGTCGGGAGGAAAGTTCCTGCGGGGGCCGCTCGCCGGGGCGAGGGCGAGGGCAGCGGGAGGTGAACCGCGTCGCTCGCCGCCACCTCCCTCACCTGCGCCGGAACAACGGGCCCCGCGCCAGCCCGGCCCGGCGCCTCCCGCAGGCCGCGCCTCCCGCACGCCGCGCTGCCGGGGCTTGTTCCTCCTCATGGCTTTGCCCTGACGTAATTCAAACATGGCAACAGTTCGACTTCAAAGGCGAACCCACAGACCTCCCAGACACAGGCTCCCGGGCCACGAGAAACCGGCCGAGCAGTCCGGGCCAAGCTCCCCGGAACCCTCGGCCGTCGCAACCCCCGACGCCAGGGCTGAAGCGCCGGGCACTGCCGCCTCCCTCGGTCGCCCGCCCGCACGCCCGGAGCGGGGAAGCACGCCGCCTCCCTACGCACCAGCATGGCACCTCGCACAAGTAGCGCCGCCAAAGTTTCCCCACGAGGGGGCTGAGGGACAAAAGCCCCTCCCGAAACTCGCCCGAACTTCGAGGGCCTCCGACCTGCACGGCCCTACGCCCAGGCGGCGGCCCCGAGCGCCGGGGGCCCGCACGGGCACATGCAGCCCTTTGTTTTCTGTCCAGCCGGGCGCTGCCTACGTGCAGCATCAGGGATGTCGGAGCGTTTCGCAGGGGCCGGACACTGGACGATCACCCTGGGTAGGGGTCCGGACCCCGCGCCCCGAAGAGTCCGGAGCCTGGCCCCCCGACCCTCCCCTCGGGAGCAGGCCCATTTAATCAAAGTTTTGCAGTGTCCTTGATGAGAAACGCCCGGAGTATCCGCCCCGCACGGGCGGAGAGTTGGCGACTTTCACTCTGCTTTTTAAACTGGCAAGACGCCATCATCAGCAAACCACATTGTCCTGCCGGCCGGACCTGCCCGACGGCGGCCGCATCCCACGGCTCACGCGGGGCTGGACATTCGGACAAGGACCAGGGTCGCAGCCCGAAGCACGTGGTCTGTCACGTAGAGCACAAAAAGCAGTGCCCTGCGGAGTTCACTGACTCCCGCGGCGTACACAACGCCGCCGCCTCCATCTCCAGCCAAGTTGGCTTCCCTGGCCATCTTACAGCGCGGACGGCCGCCCATAAACGGGAAGCCCTCGCGGTGTCGCCCACACCTACGCTACAGGTGAACGCACCGGGAGCAAAACTTCGGGCTCCGAAAGCACCCCGGACACCAGAGGCTCTTGGGCGCGGTCCGAAGAGGGCAGGCGAGTGGAAGACGGGCTGTTTTTAAGCGACCGCGTGTTGCTCTCATTGTCGCATCCGCATCCCTCCGGAGTTGAGCAAACAACGCCACGCCGCGTGCGCTCCGGCAGAGCCCAGCACTGACCCCCAAAGGCCGATTTAAAGACCCTCGGCCGCCAGCTCGGAAGCGGATGGCAACTTAGTTTCCGAGCGAATGGCGTTTATTGTCCACCCTAGTCCGAGGGCTGCAGTCAACTAAACCACGAGGTTTCACAACGGCGCCCGACCCTGCCCGCGCCTCGCGCCCACGCGGACGCACCGACCCCGGCCGCTGCGCGGTGGCCAACGAGTCGCTTTCCTCTCGGGCCTTTCGGCCGCCGGGCTCCTTTCCGCGAGAGAACACTGCGGCGGAGAAAAGTCATTGTCACCTTCAACGTGGATCCCTCAACTCCGGCGACTCCTCAATTATGCCCAGGCTCCACTCACTTCCCCGCCCCGAGACTTTCGGTTTGCCTCAAATACCCTCCCCAATTAATAAATACACACTAAACACGAGCGTACCAAAGAACCTGGGGTCTGAAGATCACGAAAACAGCGCTCCCAACAATGCCACCTCCAAGACAAAACTTCCTGTGTGTATGTGGAAGGACGGGGGGAGGTGGGTGGAGGTGAAAAGAGAAAAAAAAAAACACTGAAATCAAAGCCTCGTGAGACAGTTTTGCACTAGAAGCATGGTGAGAGTCACTCACCTTCCAAAAGCAGCCGTTCCACGCGCAATAATGTCCCCGAGGTGCGGAGTGCACGCCAGGCCAGTCCCCCTCAAGCGCTCCCTCCTCCTCAACTGCCTTGTCTAGAAAGATAGTCTCCTGCAGTTCTGCAGTTGCTACCGCTGGCCGGGAAGGTGTAGATTCCGCTTTCCCTCTGCGCACGCGCGGCTCCCGGCACAAAATTCTCTTGAATCGAACTTATTTGCATACGGGCGCGCGCACGTTGCGGGCTGGGAGGGGGAGAAGTCCCGGCGACCGCGCGCGCTCCCGAGGCCTCTATTGTCCTTTTAAGGGGAGAAGCTCCGCGGCGCGGGAAACGCGGCGGCCAGAGGGAAACGGGGGCGGGGACTGCTTACTACGGCGGACGTCACATAAACAAACGCCCCCCCCCCCGGCTGCAGGCCGCGGCGGAGAGGGAGAGGCGAGGTGGGAAAGGGAAAGGTTAGCAACTGAGGGGAGGGCTGCGCTGCTTGGCGTGTTTTCCGCCCCCGAAGTTGTTAGGGGCACCATTGAGCGCTGAAAAATTGTTCTGAAAGCTGCTTTTGCAAAATTCTCACACCTGTCCCCACTGTCGGTGACAGAGGAGGTGGTCTTGTAAGCACCCAGACTGAATTTATACTAATCCCACGTTTCCTAAATTTTGTTTGAAGTTAGGTTTTTGAAGCTTGTAAAAAAAAAATCCTCTGGGGCCAGCAAAGGTTTAGTTTTTGTGCAGTTGTAATGAGTCGTTTAATAAAGTCCCATTTTAACACCCTAGCCATTCGCTAACTCCCGCTTGCCCTTCTCAAATAGTAACCCAACCCATAACAATCCAGTTTTTTCCTCCACTTCGGCCTTAAGATTTCAAGTCTCTCCGAATTGAATGATTGTTAATTTCCGTGGGAACAGTGCCGCTTTCTTTAAAAGACTAGGCATTGGAAAGCCAATAACCTAGGGACAGGCATACCTCCTCTAGCAGCTTGTAAAGGGTGTTCCACTCACCCAGAAATAATTCCAGTAACTGGTGGTCTTGGGAATGGAAAAAATAACGAGTGACGTACAGACTTTTCAATGCAGAATATGTAATAATTCAACAATCTAAGCGCTTTCTAGACTCCGGAAGAAAAAAACTGAAGTAACTCTTCTCAGATTGATAAGAGGAAAATGAAAACCGAATGATTGATTCGCCTTTGTCCCAAGGACACACTTAACACCAACAGGCAGAAACCCGGGGTTAATGATAGAGGGTGGGGAGAGAGGAAGGATGTTTTTCCCAGAAACTTGATATTGGTCCCAAGTTACAAAAGTGTGAAAATCAACCATAAAACTTAATCATCTGCTGACACGTTTCGCTGCTTTCACTGCAGTGTCAACAATACAGATTTAAATAGTTACTTCTGAAATGTTAATTTAATTCAACAGGCAATTCCTAGTACATACAGTATAAACCCACTTCTGAACTCCTCAACTAATACTTCTTTATTTTTCTTTAGGTTCTGTAACATACTATTCCTGTAACTGTATATGAAAACTATATTATAAATACCTGAAAAGATAGCCTGGCGTGGTGGTGGGCACCTGTAATCCCAGCTATTCGGGAGCCTGAGGCAGGAGAATCGCTTGAACCTGGGAGGCGGAGGTTGCAGTGAGCAGAGATTGCGCCACTGCACCCCAGCCTGGGCGACAGAGCAAGACTGTCTCAAAACAAAAACAAAAACAAAAACAAAAAACAGAAAGAAAAAGGACACCTCTCATTAAAATATGAGCTCCTTAAAGACAAGGATTTTATGCCTTTCTTACCCATCTTTGTATTCCAGTGCCTGACACAGTGCACATCAGATAATATATACTGACATCTTGCATGCATTAGTTGGCTAGGAAAATTTTTTTTTAATGTAATAAACGGCTGGGCACAGCGCCTCACACCTGTAATCCTAGCACTTTGGGAGGCCAAGGCAGGCAGATCACATGAGGTCAGGAGTTCGAGACCAGCCTGGCCAACATGGTGAAAACCTGCCTCTGCTAAAAATATAAAAATTAGCCGGGCATGGTGGCTCACCCCTGTAATCCCAGCACTTTGGGAAGCCAAGGCAAGTGGATCACCTGAGGTCAGGAGTTCAAGACCAGCCTGGCCAACATAGTGAAACCCTGTCTCTACTAAAAATACAAAAATTAGTGGGGCATGGTGGCACTCACCTGTAATCCCTGCAACTCGAGAGGCTGAGATGTGGTGGCACATGCCTGTAATCCTAGCTACTCAGGAGGCTGAGGCAGGAGAATTGCCTGAACCCGAGAGGCGGAGGTTGCAGTGAGCCAAGATCACGCCACTGCACTCCAGCCTGGACAATAGAGCAAGACTCTGTCTCAAAAAAAAAAAAAAAATATATATATATATATATAATAAATATATAAATTAGCTGGGCATTTTCGCACAGACCTGTAATTCCAGCTACTTGGGAGGCTAAGGCACAAGAATCACTTCAATCTGGGAGGCTGAGGTTGCAGTGAGCCGAAATCGCACTACTGCACTCCAGCCTGGGTGACGGAGTGAAACTCTTGTCTCAAAAAATAATAATAATGGCCAGGCGAAGTGCCTCACGCCTGTAATCACAGCACTTTGGGAGGCCAATGTGGGTGAATTACCTGAGGTAGGGAGTTTGAGAGCAGCCTGACCAACATGGAGAAACCCCGTCTCTACCAAAAATGCAAAATTAGCCGGGCGTGGTGGCACATGCCTATAATCCTAGCTACTTGGGAGGCTGAGGCAGGAGAATCCCTTGAATCCAGGAGACAGAGGTTGTGGTGAGCCGAGAGATCAAGCCATTGCACTCCAGCCTGGGCAACAAGAGCTAAACTCTGTCTCAAAATAATAATAATAATAATAAATATATAAATATAATTTTAAAAAATTAATGGACATTTTCAAGGTTCTTACAGGTTTATCGCTAATCAGAACTTTAGTTTACAATTTTTGCATTTGACCTAAAATGAGTTTGGAAGTTATAGTGGTCACATTGGTTGATATGCCAGCCCTGTCCTTATGACAATAAAAATGAATAAGCTTAATAGCTGTTTCTGTGTTCCACTGGTGGCAAATTGGACCCTAATCATAAATTTCTGCCTTCTTTCTAAAGAGAATTTTAACAATTGTCCTGGGTTGTCTCAAATATTTATTTGGCTTATGACAGATCTTCCAAAAATAATTTCAAATTATTATATGCCTCTGAAGGTATGAAAACTGCAAATACTGGCCAGGCGCGGTGGCTTATGCCTGTAATCCCAGCACTTTGGGAGGATGAAGCGGGTGGATCACAAGGTCAGGAGTTTGAGACCAGTCTGGACAGCATGGTGAAACCCCGTCTCTACTAAAAATACAAAAAATTAGCCGGGCATGGTGGTGCACGCCTGTAGTCCTAGCTACTTGGGAGGCTGAGGCAGGAGAATCGATTGAACCCAGGAGGCAGAGGTTGCAGTGAGCTGAAATCACACCACTGCACTCCAACCTGGGTGACAGAGCGAGACTCCATCTCAAAAAAAAAAGAAAAGAAAAGAAAGAAAATTGTAAATACCATAATAATATTTTTTAAACTCCAATTATGGTTTACAGGAGTATATATATACATATATGTAAGTGTGTACACACACACACACGTACCTTGAATGCTTTTTCTCTTGAAAGTTTATGTAAAGAATATTTATTGTGGCCGGACGCGGTGGCTCCTGCCTGTAATCCCAGCATTTTGGGAGGTCGAGGTGGGTGGATCACAAGGTCAGGAGTTTGAGACCAGCCTGGCCAATATGGTGAAACCTCGTCTCTACTAAAAATACAAAAAAATTAGCCGGGCATGGTGGCACGTGCCTGTAATCCCAGCTACTTGGGAGGCTGAGGCAGGAGAATTGCTTGAATCCGGGAGGCAGAGGTTGCAGTGAGCCGAGATCACGCCACTGCACTCCAGCCTGGGTAACAGGGCAAGATTCCATCTCAAAAAAAAAAAAAATTTTATTGTAATACAGGGATGGAATAATAAACGCAAATGTGCAAGCAATGCAGGAATTACAGTACTTAGGATACACCGTTCAGGTAAAAAAGTACCTAGAAGTTGCAGAGCTACTGAGTTAATGTAGCCAGACTTCCTCTGCTCTCAAAGTATAGGTCAAGAAGTAATCTGGGTAAGTTTTTTAGGAAGGGTAGCTACAAAATTCTTTTTTAAAATTTTTTATTACTTTTTAATTTTTCTTTGATAATCCTATTGCAATAAACAAAATTCTCAAAGAAAAATCGGAATTCCATAGTCTTTTTTTTTAAAGCAACCACCTGCTATTTTTGAACAACCAAGTGCATTCCGAAGGTTCTTTTGTCCAGTTTGTTGCTTGAACATGTCATTATGGATGGCCCTACCCAGGCCCAATAGCTCATGTATGGGTTACTTTTAACTACTACTACCTAAATTGCCCAAGTGAATTTTTCAACGTGAAAAAGGAAAGAAGGAAATACAAGAAGTAATTTATAATATATCAATTTGTATTACAAGAGATTGAATTACATCATGCTAGGAAAATATCTGCGGATTTTGTTTTGTTTTGTTTTTGTTTGTTTTTTTTGAGAAGGAGTTTTGCTCTTGTTGCCCAGGCTAGAGTGCAATGGCACGATCTTGGCTCACCACAACCTCCACCTCCCGGGTTCAAGCGATTCTCCTGCCTCAGCCTTCCGAGTAGCTGGGATTACAGGCATGAGCCTGCATGCCCGGCTAATTTTGTATTTTTAGTAGAGATGGGGTTTCTCCATAGTTGGTTAGGCTGGTCTCAAACTCCCGACCTCAGGTAATTCACCCACCTTGGCCTCCCAAAGTGCTAGGATTACAGGCGTGAGCCACCACACCCTGCCCTGAGTATTTTTTAATGACTACAATGCTATGTTGAACTCATAAGTAGTTTTCAAACATTTTGAAGTTGAAAGCTAACTACTTTCTTATAATGTATGTCTCGCTGTAGAATTATCCCTAACGCTTGAATTTTTATTCCTTTAGCAAACATTTAATGATCATCACTATGTGCCAGATAGTGAAATCATTTCAGAACTTGAGGGGCTCAAGCCTCTCTAATTCATTTCTATATAATTCTATTTTATTTGCTCCTTTTTCTTCCGTAGAATGTGTTGCCTTCTTTTGAGATTTATTGTCAGCCACTTTAGAATTTAATATTCTTGGAATGGAGGATAAATTATATATAAAGGATTGTAGAAGAGGACAAATCTTGCTTGATTATGAAGGACATTGCTAGCAATTTAGTCATGTTTGTAATGACAAACTAATGATTGTTTTTAAAATAAAGGCAGATACCCTCATCAGCGGCTGGTACCAACCACATGAAAACATGTTTGCCAAACCCAGGAAAGAGCTGATGATTATTATTAAGCATAGGGTTTGGTTCCTCTTTTTCTCACAACAAAACAAGTACAGTGTTTTAATAATTTGTTTAAATCTCTTTGAAGTTCAAATAGCAAGCCGTCAGAGCAAGGCAGATAAGTTTACACTCGAAGGTATAGCCTGGATTATGCCATCTAAGTTACCCCAATCCTCCAACAAGTGTCGACAGCTGCCAGAAAAAGTTATTTATTACTTAATCAAAATTAACTTTTCAAATTTCTGGACATAAAAGCTTAAAGAATTATCAAAAACTTATTCTTAGAGTATCCTGAACTTATAGAAATCTTGTTTTATAATAGTATCTTATGACATTTGAACAGCATGATTTTATTTATTTATTTATATTTATATATTTATTTATTTTTGAGACAGAGTTTTGCTCTTGTTGCCCAGGCTGGAGTGCAATGGCATGATCTTGGCTCACTGTAAGCTCTGCCTCCCAGGTCCAAGCGATTCTCCTGCCTCAGCCTCCCGAGTAGCTGGGACTACAGGCGCGCACCCCTAATTTTTGCGCCCTGCTAATTTTTGTGTTTTTAATAGAGACAGGGTTTCACCGTGTTGGCCAGGCTGGTCTCAAACTCCTGACCTCTGGTGATTCGCCCGCCTCGGCCTCCCAAAGTGCTGGGATTACAGGCATGAGCCACTGCACCCGGCCAGCATGCTTTTAAAAAATAAAATTACCAGTAACAAAAATAATTTTTCGTTAAGAAGAATATTGAAAAACTAGAATGAGTTCACAGTAGGGTAAATCAGGACAATGAGGAAGGATGGAAACCATAGCATAAAAGCAATAATAGAAGGAAGGCTGTGTTTCGATTGAGTAAGAGGGCAATCTTTGACTATCTGAAGGATTGTCCTTAGTAGAGGGATGGACTTGTTTTATCCTTTGGAACAAAATTAGTCTTGAAAATCAAAAGAATGATGCTAAACATGATAAAATTTCCCAGACATACAAATAGTCCAAGGATGGTTCAGGATACTTCCAAAGGCAGCTCCTCATCACTAAACAAACAGATAAAATCAAGATAATGCTTTTAAAAATTCATTCAATGAATTGCATTACTTACAATATGAAGCTAGCTAACCTCTCTGAACTCCTGTTGAATTTTATGAATCTTTGATTGCACGGAATAGACTAGTGATACCATCAATAATGTCTCAAGGTCATGAGGTGTTTACATCACTGTGGCCACAGAATAAAGTGTGAGAAATAAAAGAAAAAAAAAGTAAGTACCAGGGACTTAACCATGTATGGCAAGGGGATCAGATCTAATCTGGAGGTAAGAGAAGGCTTCTTTGAGGAAGTGACATTGAGATATTAGTAGGATTCGATGGAGAAGTGGGAGAGAGGGAAAGAGTGTTGAACCAGTGGCAACTTCAGGAACAACGGGTGTTAGAAAAAGACAAGACTAAGAGAAAAAAATGTGTCTTTGACTAAATAAAAGTCAGAATAAAAGATTGCAAATGAGTCCTGTTTGAGGGAAAAGATGGTATCAGGTGTTGGAGACAGAGATTTAAGCCCTGTGAATTTGGAAGTTACATCGGAGTTGGACGTAATTGCATGCCAAAAGCATACCTCAGAGATGAACCCCTATAATTAGGTTACAAATGGTTTAATCAATGTATGTTTCTTCTACCAAAATTTAGTTTTCTAAATGTCAATAAGAAGTTGATCCCCACCGCTATCCCCAGGCCAGGTGCAATGTCTCAGGCTTGTAATCTCAACACTTTGGGAGGCCAAGGAAGAGAATCGCTTGAGACCAGGGGTTTGAGGTTGCAGTGACCTATGATAGCACCACCACACTTCAGCCTGGGTGACAGAGCAAGACTCTGTTTCAAAAAAAAAAAAAAAAAAGAAAAAAAAAAGAAGAAGAAGAAGTGGAAGAAGAAGAAGGAGAAGGAGAAGAAGAAGAAAGAAAAAAAGAAGCTGATCCCCCAGACATAGAGTTCACTTCCTGGAAAACCCACTGTTCTAACTATTCAAGGCATCACTAAAGGCAAGCATGCTACATCATCAACAGATGATGAACAAGTGAATGAGTGGACACATAATAGTCAAAGAGACATGCTGCATTGCCATTTCTAAAAGCTTTGGTGATAAAATATTGAGGAATCTGGAAGAACTTACTTATTGATTTAATTTTTTTTAGTGACAACATCTCACCCTGTCACCCAGGCTGGACTGCAGTGGCACAATCATAGCTCACTGCAGCCTCTAATTCCTCGGCTCAAGTGGTCCTTCTGACTTAGCCTCCAGAATAGCTGGGACTAAAGGCATGCACCACCACACCCAGCTAATTATTATTATATTTTTTTGTAGAGATGGGATCTTGCTATGTTGCCCAGGCTGGTTTCCAACTCCTGGCCTCAAGCAACCCTCCCACCTCAGCCTCCCAAAGTCTTCGGATTACAAGTGTGAGCCACCATGCCTGGCCAGGAGAACTTAATATATTGCTGACAGTTAATTTAAAAACTTTCAGCCAGGCATGGTGGCTCACACCTGTAATCCCAGCACTTTGGGAGGCCAAGGCAGGCAGATCACTAGAGTTCAGGTGTTCAAGACCAGCCTGGGCAACATGACAAAATGCCATCTCTACAAAAAATCCAAAAATTATCTGGGTGTGGTGGCACATGCCTGTAGTCCCAGCTACTCAGGAGGCTGAGGTGAGAGGATGGTTTGAGCCCACGAGTGCAAGGCCAGCTTGGGCAACATGGCGACACCCTGTCTCAAAAATTAAATATTTATATCAAATAATGTTTTTAGCATGGAGTGAGGGAACTCAAAGGACTTGAAAGATTAATAAATTTAACTACATAAAAATATAAAATTTGTAAAATAGGAGAAAATACCATATAAAGACCAAAAAGTCAAACTATTAAAAAAAAAAAACAAAAACACTGCAAGATAAGGGGATAATTTCTTTGTTGTTGTTGTTGTTTGAGACAGAGTCTTGCTCTGTCGCCCAGGCTGGAGTACAGTGGTGTGACCTCGGCTCACTGCAGCCTCTGCCTCCCAGCCTCAAGTGACCCTTCCACCTCAGCCTCTGGAGTAGCTGGGACTACAGGTGTGTCCCACCATGCCAGGCTAATTTTTGTATATTTTGTAGAAACAGGTTTTCCCATGCTGACTAGGCTGGTCCTGAAATCCTGGGGCTCAAGCAATCCTCCTGCCTCGGCCTCCCAAATGCTGGGATTACAGTTGTGAGCCACCACACCAGACCCAATACTTTCTTAATATCAGTAAAGTAGAAGTGATAAAGTATCAGTGAAATTAGTTTACCCAAAAGAATGTAAATGGAAATAAACATGTAAGAAGATCTGGACTTTATTCATAATAGTTTTGGCCAGGCGCAGTGGCTCACACCTGTAATCCCAGCACTTTCGGAGGCTGAGGCAGGCAGATCACGAGGTCAAGAGATCGAGACTATCCTGGCCAACATGGTGAAACCCCGTCTCCACTAAAAATACAAAAATTAGCTGGGCGTGGTGGTACACGCCTGTAGTCCCAGCTACTTGGGAGGCTGAGGCAGGAGAATTGCTTGAACCCAGGAGGCAGAGGTTGTAGTGAGCTGAGATTACACCACTGCACTCCAGCCTGGAGACAGAGTAAGACTCTGTCTCAAAAAAAAAAAAAAAAAGAAGATGCTGAACTTTATTCATAATAGTTTTAGAATAATAAAATTGTTTCTAAACTTTGTAACTTAATGCATTATTATTGTTATTATTGGGTTTTTTTGAGATGGAGTCTTGCTCTGTCTCCCAGGCTGGAGTGCAGTGGCACCATCTCGGCTCACTGCAAGCTCCCCCTCCCGGGTTCCTCAGCCTCCCAAGTAGCCAGGACTACAGGTGCCCACCACCACGCCTGGCTAATTTTTGTATTTTGTTTAATAGAGACGGGTTTCACCATGTTAGCCAGGATGGTCTCAATCTCCTGACCTCATGATCCACCCACCTTGGCCTCCCAAAGTGCCGGGATTATAGGTGTGAGCCACCGCACCTGGCCACTTAATGCATTATTTTAATGTAAATTGAATTGACCACTTTTTAAATGATGGAACACCTAAATGGAATTCTATACCACTGTTACAGAGAATAAGTCTGCTTTATATATGCTGACATAGAAAGATAGTCACAACATATTAAATGGATAAAAAGCAATTTGCAGGCAGGGCACGGTGGCTCATACCTGTAATCCCAGCACTTTGGGAGGCCGAGGTAGGCAGATCACCTGAAGTCGGGAGTTCAAGACCAGCCTGACCAACATGGAGAAACCCCATCTCTACTAAAAATACAAAATTAGCCAGGCATAGTGGCGCATGCCTGTAATCCCAGCTACTCAGGAGGCTGAGGCAGGAGAAACACTTGAACCCAGGAGGCAGAGGTTGCGGTGAGCCGAGATCACACCATTGCACTCCAGCCTGGGCAGCAAAAGCAAAACTCTGTCTCAAAAAAAAAAAAAAAAGCAATTTGCAAGCTGGGCGTGGTAGCTTGTGCCTGTAATCCCAGCACTTTGGAAGGCCGAGGTGAGTGGATTGTTCGAGCCCAGGAGTTTGAGACCAGCCTGGGCAACATGGTGAAACCCCATTTCTACAAAAAAACTTTTTAAAAAAAATTAGCTGGGAGTGGTGGCGCAGGCCCATAGTCCCAGCTACTTGGGAGGCTGTAGTGGGAGGATCTCTTGAATGTGGGAGGCGGAGGTTGCAGTGAGCCATGATTGCACCACTGCACTCCAGCCTGGGGGACAGAATGAGACCCTGTCTCAAAAAAAAGCAAAACAAAACAAAAAAGCAATTTGCAGAACAGTAGGTAAAGTGTGATTTCATTTGAGGGGCAAAAAGGAATATATGTAATATATACATACATGTAATATATGTACACATGCATATATATCATGTGTTTGCACATAAAAAGTGATTGCAGAGAGGAGACATATCAGTGTTAATCACAGTTGCTTCTGAGGATAAAAGTAAGAAAGAAAGTGGGCAGGAGTTACTTTTATTTCATATAATTTTACCCACTTCGGGTTTTTGTTTGTTTGTTTGTTTGTTTTGAGATGGAGTTTCCCTCTTGTCTCGCAGGCTGGAATGCAGTGGCAGCAATCTCGGCTCACTGCAACCTCCGCCTCCCAGGTTCAAGCGGTTCTCCTGCCTCAGCCTCTGGAGTAACTAGGATTACAGGCGCCCGCCATCACACCCGGTTAATTTTTGTATTTTTAGTAGAGACGGGGTTTCCATGTTGGCCAGGCTGGTTTCAAACTCCTCACCTCAGGTGATCCACCCACCTTGGCCTCCCAGAGTGCTGGGATTACAAGCGTGAACCACCACCCCCGGCCCCCTCTTTGGGATTTTATGAGCTTTGGTCATTTTGGTAATATAATTTTTTTTTCTTTTCTGAGATGGAGTTTCACTTTTGTTGCCCAGGCTAGAGTGCAGTGGCTCAATATCGGCTCACTGCAACCTCCGCCTCCCAGGTTCAAGTGATTCACCTGCCTCAGCCTCCCAAGTAGCTAGAATTACAGGCATCTGCCACCACACCCAGATAATTTTTGTATTTTTAGTAGAGATGGAGTTTTGCCATGTTGGCCAGGCTGGTCTCAAACTCCTGACGTCAGGTGATCTGCCTGCCTCGGCCTCCCAAAGTGCTGGGATTACAGGTGTGAGCCACCACACCCGGCCAGTAATATAAAAATACTTAAAGGTAGAAAAAAACCCTATTAAAATATGTAAGCTGGGCGTGATGGCTCATGCCTGTAATCCCTGCACTTGAGGAGACTGAGGCAGGAGGATTGCTTGAGGCCATAATTTCAAAGACCACCCTGGCCCACATAGTGAGACCTTGTCTCTATTAATTCAAACACACACACAGAGCACATTAGGAATACAAGCAATGGTAGTTTTTTTAAAACGGTGTTTGTATTAGTTTAACAAATGAATTACTGAGGTAGTGTTAGCTTCTTGAACCCAGGATTCACACCTGGTTTGGCTTTAAAGCTTCCACAGTATCTTGTACACTACCTGCTCATGTAAATAGTACCTACTTACGGCCGGGCATGGTGGCTCACGCCTGTAATCCCAGCACTTTGGGAGGCCGAGGTGGGTGGATCACAAAGTCGGGAGTTCAAGACCAGACTGGCCAAGATGGTGAAACCCCGTCTCTACTAAAAATATGAAAATTAGCTAGGCGTGGTGGTGGGCGCCTGTAATCCCAGCTACTGGGAGGCTGAGGCAAAGAATTGCTTGAACCCAGGAGGCGGAGGTTGCAGTGAGCTGAGATTGCACCACTGCGCTCCAACCTGGACGACAGAGCGAGGCTCTCCTTCTAAAAAAAAAAAAAAAAAAAAGGTACCTACTTATATAAATAAATATACAACCAAGAAGTCCATAAAAGCTCTTCTTTCCTCTACCCAGAACTCTCTTCCCCCTCATCTTTGATCGTTTAAATCCCATCATCCTTCGAGGCCTGACTCGAATGCCAGCTCACGTCAGTAATGGTCATGGATTGATTTCCAGCTCTGGATCCAGCATCGCTCTGCACACCCACATATTTTATCTTCCTTCACAATAATCTTCACAAGAATCCTGACATAGATGCTGGTCTTTCCTATTTACATAGGAAAAAATGGGCCTTTACAGTTATGAAGCTTATTCAGTGTCACATGTGTCATAAATTAGTGATGGAGATGAGATAAGAAACCTCACCTCCTGACCTGGTTCATTCGGAATTCATTCTACTTTACTCCATGGACTTCGCCCTAATCGCTCAAACAGGAAGCAATACTTTCTTCCTCTCAACTCTTCTAACACTTGGTGAGTGCCTCTGAAAGCACATATTAGTTTCTACTTTATGTTTCATTTATCTGTGTACAGCCTCACATCTCTGTATGAGAATGAGAGCTGATTCTAATCATTTCAATCCATAGATGGCATAAAAATCACCTGTGATCTTTTAAAACACATTTATGTCACAGACTGAAGGAATCAGAATTTCTACACTTGGTACCTGGCTATCTGCATATTTTTAAACCTGCATAGTTGATGCTGATGCACACTAAGGGCTTAGGACAGCTAGCTTCATCCAAGCTTGATTCATCTTTGAATTTCCATAGTGCCTTCAAATAGCAAATGCCAGGTGGGGCATGGTGGCTCACGTCTGTAATCCCAACACTTTAGGAGGCCAAGGCAGGTGGATCCCTTGAGCTCAGGAGTTCCAAACCAGCCTGGGCAAAATGGTGAAACCTCGTCTCTACAAAAAGTACAAAAATTAGCTGGGCATGGTGGTGCACACCTGTGGTCCCAGCTACTTGGGGGGCTGAGGCGGAAGGATTGCTTGAGCCCAGGGAATCGAGACTGCAATGAGCTGTGATGGCATTACTGCACTGCAATGTGGGTGACAGAGCAATTCCCTGTCTCAAAAAAAAAAAAAAGAGCCGGGCGTGCTGGCTCACACCTGTAATCCCAGCACTTTGGGAGGCCGAGGCGGGCGGATCACGAGGTCAGGAGATCAAGACCATCCTGGCTAACACAGTGAAACCCCCGTCTCTACAACAAAATACAAAAAAAAATTAGCTGGGCATGGTGGCGTGCACCTGTAGTCCCAGGTACTCGAGAGGCTGAGGCAGGAGAATTGCTTGAACCCGGGAGGCGGAGGTTGCAGTGAGCCGAGATCGTGCCACTGCACTCCGGCCTGGGTGAGAGTAAGACTCTGTCTCAAAAAATAATAATAATAAATTAAAAAGAAAGAAAAGAAAAGAGAAAAAGCAGATACCTTATAAGTATTTGTTGACTTATCCATAATCATTAATTATTTTTATAAATCCAAATATGGAATCAGAGCTGCCTTTACTGGAAGAAAAGTCTAAGTGTTTGGGTAATAGAGACACTATGAGGATCAGGTAGTTTAAGCAATGTGGGGGTGGCTAGTGGGTGAACTATGAGGATTAAAGGTGCCGGCTGGGCACTGTGGCTCACGCCTGTAATCCCAGCACTTTGGGAGGGTAAGGCGGGTGGATCACCTGAGGTCAGGAGTTCGAGACCAGCCTGGCCAATGTGGTGAAACCCTGCCTCTACTAAAAATACAAAAATAAGCCAGGCGTGGTGGCAAGCGCCTGTAGTCCCAGCTACTCAGGAGGCTGAAGCAGGAGAATCGCTTGAACCCAGGAGGCAGAGGCTGCAGTGAGCCAAGATCCGCCACTGCGTTCCAGCCTGGGTGACAGAGCAAGACTCTGTCTCAAAAAAAAAAAAAAAAAAAAAAAGGTGCCACAAAGGTGTGCTCAGAAACAGCCGTAAGAAATGAGGAGACCAGGCTTATCAGGTCATCGCTTAGGCTAGCAGCTGCCCTTTCAAAATAGCTCTGTGCTTTCTTTTCCTTTTTTTTTTTTTTTTTTTTTTGAGACAGGGTCGTGCCTTGTCATCCAGGCTGGAGTGCAGTGGCACAATCACGGCTCACTGCAACCTCCACCTCCCAGGCTCATGAGATCCTCTGACCTTAGCCTCCCAAGTAGCTGGGACTATAAGCACCATGCACCACCATGTTCAGCTAATTTTTAAATTTTTTTTGTACAGACGGGGTCTTGCTATATTGCCCAGACTGGTCTCGAACTCCTGGGCTCAAGCGATCGGCCCACTTCAGTCTCCCAAAGTGACTGGAGTGGAGTTACAGGCATGAGCCACCACACCCAGCCTGGCCTTTCTTTTTCTTTGAAGGTTACTCTAATTTTCTTACTTTTATTTTCTTCTTTATTATTATTTTTTGTTTCTAATAAACATTGAGACAGCCTTCAAAGTTACCCTAATTTTATCCAGATTACATCTGCTTAAAAATTGTACGATATATTTGAAGGATAAAGAGTTTGCCTTGGCTCCCTCAAATTCTCTGAAACTTGTAAGATAGTGAAACAGGACTAGATCCTACTGGCAGTGCTTTGAGAAAGAATGAATTGATATGTGAAGAGGAAGGAGACTTAAGGGGACCACGGCTGGAATGTGGTCAAACAGGACGGACCACATATGCACCATAAAGGCTGATATTCCTAGTCTGAGGAATTGCCTATTCAAGGAATCATTTTTGGTGATATATCTGCCTAGTAGCCAAATACTCTGATAAGAACAAAAACCCGTGTGTGTGTGTAAGATTAGCTGATGCTTCACTTTTCTCAATGTTTTATATTGCATATTATCATAAGAAGTCTCACTGGATCAGGCCGGGCGCCATGGCTCACACTGGTAATCCCAGCACTTTGGGAGGCCGAGGTGGGTGGATCACCTGAGGTTAGGAGTTTGAGACCAGCCTGGCCCACATGTCGAAACCCTGTCTCTACTAAAAATACGAAAATTAGCCAGGTGTGGTGGCCGGCACCTGTAATCCCAGCTACTCAGGAGACTGAGGCAGAGAATCGCTTGAACCCAGGAGGCGGAGGTTGCAGTGAGCCAAGACTGTGCCACTGCAGTCCAGCCTGGGCGACCAAGAGAGACTCCATCTCAAAAAATAATAATAATAAATAGATCAGTTAATAGGGTTGAAACAAACAAAAATGGAAATATATAAAAAGAAACAAAAACGAAAGAAAAGAAATCTCATTGGAAATCTCACTGGAGATTTTTGCATAAATTTGATCCAAAATGGACTGCTCTTATTACATAAGGATTATAGAGCTGACCCATGATTAGTAAAGTATATGCTTGAGTTGTTTTTCGTAATAATATTATTTCATAATATCATTAATTAATATATTTGTGCACATACTCTGCTATATGATAAGGATATACAATATTATAAAATATACTTCCCAGACTGGGTGTGTTGGCTCACACCTATAATCCCAGCACTTTGGGAGGCCACGGCAGGAGGCCGTGTTTGAGAGCAGCCTGGGCAACATAGAGAGACTGTGTCTCTACAAAAACTTTAAAAAATTGTCAGGGCATGATGGCATGGGCTTTTAGTCCCAGATACTCAGGAGGCTGAGCGGGGAGGACCTCCCCGCTTGAGCCCACAATGCAGAGGTTGTAGTGAGCTGTGATAGTGCCACTGCATTCCAGCCTGGGTGACAGAGCCAGACCTTGTCTAAAAAACAATAGAGTAAAATATACTTCCTATCCTTAATGGGCTTCCAGCCCCAAGAGGGAGACATAACAGTTATGTAAAAAGTAAATACCAGCTGGGCACAGTGGCTCACGCCTGTAATCCCAGCTCTTTGGGAGGCTGAGGCAGGCAGATCACGAGGTCAGGAGTTCAAGACCAGCCTGACCAACACGGTGAAACCCATCTCTACTAAAAATACAAAAATTAGCCAGGCATGGTGGTGACCACCTGTAATCCCAGCTACTCAAGAGGCTGAGGCAGGAGAATCACTTGAACCCAGGAGGCAGAGTTGCAGTGAGCTGAGATCGCGCCATTGCACTCTAGCCTGGCCAGCAGAGCGAGAGTCCATCTCAATTAAAAAAAAAAAAGTATGCATAAGATACTAAGGGAGGCCGGCATGGTGGCTCACGCCTCTAATCCCAGCACTTTGGGAGGCCAAGGCGGGCGGATCACCTGAGGTCAGGAGTTCGAGACCAGCCTGGCCAACATGGCAAAACCCTGTCTCTACTAAAAATACAAAATTAGCCGAGCGTGGTGGCGCATGCCTGTAATCCAAGCTACTCAGGAGGATGAAGCTCGAGAATCGCTTGAACCCAGGAGGCAGAGGTTGCAGTGAGCCGAGATCACGCCATTACACTCTAGCCTGGGCAACAAGAGTGAAACTCCGTATCAAAAAAAAAAAAAGAAAGAAAGATACTAAGGGAGCACAGAGCTGGAATACTTGGGCCAGCTAGTATTCAGAGAAGGTTTGGAGAAAGTGCTGCTTGAGTGGATCTGGAAGGATGAAAATGAAGTTGTCAGGTGAACAAACATGGGCAGGGTTTTCTAGGCTGCAGGAAGAGCAAAAGCAAAAGCCCATAAGTGGAAAAATGTTAAAAAGCATGCCATGTTCAAGAAACATGCAGATTTATTACAGTGTCAAGTGCATGATTGGATTTTTGGAGGATGAGTCTGGCCAGGTCATGCAGGGCCTGTAAGCCATGTTAAAGAACTTGGACTTAAGCTGTAGGCAGAGGGAGCTGTTAAAAGCATTTAAGCAGAGGAGTGACATGATTTGTTTCATGTGTGTAAGTAATTCTAGATGTAGTACAGAGGACGGATAAAAAAATAAGACTGCAGGCAAGCAGATTCCTTAAAATTGTATTCCTATAGTTTTGTCAAAATACTATTGAGGGCCATAACTAGATAAGGATAAAGAGGACAGATCTAGGAAACCAAGGCAGATTTTTAAGGAGGGAAAAGGAGGACTTGGTTATTGACTAAACATATATGAAGGAGAGCAAGAGATCTAATTTCCGTGGTTCTAATTTGGTTTTTGTTTGTTTGTTGGCTGAGTTTTTTATTTGTTTGTCTTTAGACAGCATCTTGCTCTGTCACTCCAGGCTAATGTTTTTGTTTTGTTTTGTTTTTTGACACAAAATCTCACTCTTATCCCCCAGGCTGGAGTGCAATGGCGTGATCTCAGCTCACTGCAACCTCCACCTCCCAGGTTCAAGCGATTCTCCTGCCTCCGCCTCCTGAGTAGCTGGGATTACTGGTGCCCACCACCACACCTGGCTAATTTTTGTATTTTTAGTAGAGACAGGGTTTCACCATGTTGGCCAGGCTGGTCTCGAACTCCTGACCTCAGGTGATTCTCCCGCCTCGGCCTCCCAAAGTTCTGGGATTATGGCATAAGCCACCATGCCAGACCCTCGGGCTAATGTTTTTTATGTAGAGACGAGGTCTCACTACGTTGCCCAGGCCAGTCCCTAACTCCTGGCTTCAAGTGATCCTCCCACTTCCCATGTTTCTAATCTTGATGGTGGTCACGTGAACTAAGTTTGAGAAGCTAGGAAATGAACAGGTTTTGGGAGGAGGATGATCAGATCTGATTTGGGGAAGGGAATGAGAGAGAAGAGAAGCTAGAGAGGAATGAAAGATCAAGGAAAGTTTTTTGTTAGTGTGTTTGTTACGTTTTATTGTGTGAATAACTTGAACATGTTCATAGGCTTGGACGTAGGGTTGTATTCTATTCTGCATGATAGGAACTCAGTAAATATTTTTTGAAAAAATGAAAAGATTGCGAAGCCGATGCAGGTAGATCATTTGAGGTCAGGTTTTCAAGACCAGCCTGGCCAACATAATGAAACCCCGTCCCTACTAAAAATACAAAAATTAGGCGGTAGTGGCACGCACCTGTAATCCCAGCTACTCGGTAGGCTGAGGCAGGAGAATCACTTGAACTCGGAAGGCAGAGGTTGTGGTGAGCTGAGATCACGCCACTGCACTCCAGCCTGGATGACAAAGTGAGACCCTGTCTCAAAAAAATAAAATAAAATAAAATAAAAATAAAAATAAAAAATGGAAAGCGTTGAGAGGAAGAAACTAGAGATAAAGAGAATATGACTGAAAAAGCAAGGTCCCCAGGAAAACCATATGCGGTCGTGTCTTAGTCTGTTTGGGCTGCTATAACATAATACCATAAAATACTGGGTGGCTTATAAGCAACAGAAATGTATGGCTCACAGTTTTGGAGGCTGGGAAGTCCAAGATCTGAGAGCCAGCTTTGTTGGGTTCTGGTGAATGCTCTCTTCTGGATTGTGGACTTCAGACTTCTTGCTGTGCCCTCACATAGTAGAAGGGACTAGCTAGCTCTCTTGAGCCTCTTTTACAAGGGTCAGGATTTCAACACATAAATTTGGGGAGGACATGAACATTCAAACCAAAGCCAGTAGAATTAGGAGCAAAGGTGGATGACTTGGTCTTGGTCTTGAGCGATAGAAGGATATTTCAGGCCTGGCGCAGTGGCTCAGCCCTGGCGCAGTGGCTCAGCACTTTGGGAGGCCGAGGCGGGCAGATCACTTGAGGTCAGAAGTTCGAGACCAACCTGGCCAACATATTGAAACCTCGTCTCTACTAAAAATATAAAAATTAGCCAGGTGTGGTGGTGTGCACCTATAGTCCCAGCCACTTGGGAGGCTGAGGCAGGAGAATCGCTTGAACCTGGGAGGCAGAGGTTGCATTGAGCCCAGATCGCACCACTGCACTCCAGCCTGGGAAACAGAGAGTAAGACTCAAAAAAGCAAACAACAACAATAAAAAAAGAGTAGTGTGGTCTGGGCGTGGTGGCTCACGCCTGTAATCCCAGCACTTTGGGAGGCCAAGGCGGGTGGATCACGAGGTCAGGAGTTCAAGACCAGCCTGACCAACATGGTGAAACCCTGTCTCTACTAAAAAAATACAAAAATTAGCTGGGCATGGTGGTGCACGCCTGTTATTGCAACTACTCTGGAGGCTGAGACAGAAGAATTGCTTGAACCTGGGAGGCGCGGAGGTTGCAGTGAGCTGAGATCGCACCACTGCACTCCAGCCTGGGCAGTGGAGTGAGACTCTGTCTCAAAAAAAAAAAAAAAAAAAAAGAGTAGTGCGATGTGTGTCTTTCAGGGTTTTCCAAAGAAACAGAACCAGTAGGAGTATATATACACTCTTATTATATATCTATATGATATATAGAGTAAGCAATTGTAGGAGCGAACAAGTCTAAAATTTGTAGGGCAGGCCGACAGGCTGCAAGCTCAGAACTTGGGCAGGAGGTGACACTCCAGTCTTGAGGTCTCGAGGCAGAATGGAAACCTCAGTTTTTCTCTTAAAGTTTTTTTTTTTTTTGAGACAAATTCTCACTTTATTGCCCAAGGCTGAAGTGCAATGGCACAATCAGCTCACTGCAACCTCCGCCTCCCTGGTTCAAGAGATTCTCCTGCCTCAGCCTCCTGAGTACCTGGGATTACAGGCATGTGCCATCACGCCCAGCTAATTTTTCTGGGTTTTGTTTGTTTGTTTGTATGTTTGTTTGAGACGGAGTCTTGCTCTGTGGCCCAGGCTGGAGTACAATGGCACGATCTCGGCTCATTGCAACTTCCGCCTCTCGAGTTCAAGCGATTCTCCTGCCCTCAGCCTCCTAAGTAGCTGGGATTATAGGCACCCGCCACCACGCCCGGCTAATTTTTGTATTTTTAGTAGAGACAGTGTTTTACCATGCTGGCCAGGCTGGTCTCAAACTCCTGATCTCAAGTGATCTGCCCACCTCGGCCTCCCAAAGTGCTGGGATTATAGGTGTGAGCCACCGCACCCAGCTCATTATCACAAACTTTCTTATCTCCTGTTTGTTCTCCTGAAAACCCATTTATTTTTCCAAAATGGTCATTTGTTTTCTCACAAGTGCCTTTCTCTCCTTCCCCTTCACCAATTAAGATGGCATATAAGCCCCAAATTCTAGCCACCCCTTTGAATTAGTCATCACAGAATTCTCCCATCTGTATACACCTTGCACATGTGAGTGTGAACTCTTTTTTATTTTTCTCCTGTTAAGGTATCTTCTGTGAGTTTAATATGCAGGCCCTAGCTACTGAATCTAAGAAACTGAGAAGTGGCTGGGTTGGGGGCTCATGCCTGTAATCCCAGCACTTTGGGAGGCCGAGGCGGGCGGATCGCCTGAGGTCAGGAGTTTGAGACCAGCCTGGCCAACATGGCGAAACCCTGCTCCTACTAAAAATACAAAAATTGGCTGGGTGTGGTGGTGCATGCCTGTAATCCCAGCTACTGAGGAGGCTGAGGAAGGAGAATCTCTTGAACCTGGGAAATGGAGGTTGCAGTGAGCCGAGATCATGCCACTGCACTCCAGCCTGAGCAACGAGAGCGAGACTCCATCTCAAAAAAAAAAAAAAAGAAGAAGAAAAGAGAAGAAAAAGAAAAAAGAGCAAGAAATGATGTGAGAAATTTTTCTGAAACATGAGAGGATTGCCGTCTTCCTTTGGGCAGGGACACGCTGACTGGTTAAGGCACTTGCTTCAATCAATCGAAATGTAAGCAATTAATGTAACCGCGAGCACAGATTTACAAGCTTTCTCCATTTGACATAAGATTTATTTATCTGGGTTGGTGTTTTCCTGAGTTTCATTTCTATTTTTAGGTTTGAGTTTCTTTCTAAGGGACATGTGGATACGACTTGTAAATTATAAGCTTGGCGTTTTGGCAACTGCAATAACAAAAACCTGAAGCAAGAAGATTAAAAACCCCGCCTGGCCTGGACGCACTTCACTTACTTTGTTAGACTGGTAACTTCTTGCCAACAGAAACTTAAAGAAGCACTTTCTGCAATTAATATGGTAACTACCATTAATGGCTTTGTTTTCTCCAGACAAGCCAACAGCACTGGCATTAGTCTTTAGTCTCGATGAACTGGTTCTGAGAAATGAAAAGCATGGGAGACAGAATAGCACCCAGCAGCGAATCTAGCTGCAAAATGCTTTTTGGTCCTCCAAGGTGAATTAAAACCTTGAACTTAGAAGCCGATATGACAGACTTTATTTAATGTGTCAGAAATGACTGGTGACACAAGCTTTGTAACCTCCAGTCCAAATCTTACTAAACATGCAGACCACTCTCCATAGCCCCTGGGGCACCAAGCCTCAGGGACGCCCACAGCTCCCTGGCTCTCCAGATCCAGATTGGTGGCACTTCATCCTCTCCCAAAATACTTCCCTTGGATTCTTCATACCTCAAGGGGTCTCTAACCCACTTTCCTACATGCAGCTGCAGACCTACAGCTAAGGTGGGACTGAGGGAGGGAGAGAATGAATGTTCGCTATTGGGCTCTAGTACCAAGTACGTTATCTACTTTATCTCCTTACCTCACACTATCCCTGTAAACTAAGCATTATTCTTATCATCCTCATTTTATCACTGAGCAAAATGAGCTTGAGAGAAATGAAGTAACACACTGCCAGTCTCACAGCTAGTAAGTGGTGGAAATGGGCTCCTACTCAGGACCTTTTGAATTCAAACATGGCAGGCTTCATTAATCTGCATTGTAAACCAGGATTTTACCTACTTAGTTTATACCAGATAATTTCCTGAGAAAGAGTTGCCTCTTCCCAGTTTGTCTGTACTAAGTGTGTGTGGAGGAGTCCGACAGCTTAACCACGCAGTGAACGTCCCCCAAGACATTTTGTACTTAGTGCCAACAAGGGAGGATCAACCTGGGCTTTAATCTCCTTGGTGTGATAAGAGAGACATGGACCATTTAATAAGTGTAGTGCTGAAGTTAGGGGGTGCAGGTAGGCACAGCAGCCCCGGAGGAGATGAGGTCCTGGCTCACAGGTCCTGAGTTCCCAGATAGCACAATGAGCTGCCAGTTCCCTTCCAGCACCAGAAGTAACATATCACAGGGCAACGTGGCTTTACCCTTCTCCAGGAGAGTTTCGTACCCATGGTCTCACTTAAACTTCAAACACTATACTCAGAAAATAAAGTGGCAAGGAAACATTATTTTTCTTTCTTTCTTTCTTTTTTCTTTTCTTTTCTTTCTTTTTTTTTTTTTTTTTTTGAGACGGAGTTTTGCTCTTGTTGCCCAGGCTAGAGTGAAATGGCACGATCTCGGCTCACTGCAATCTCCGCCTCCTGGGTTCAAGTGATTCTCCTGCCTCAGCCTCCCAAGTAGCTAGGATTACAGGCGTGCACCACCACACCCAGCTAATTTTTTGTATTTTTTTTTTTAGTAGTCACAGGGTTTCACCATGTTGGCCAGGCTGGCCTTGAACTCCTGAGTTTGGGTGATCCACCTGCCTCGGCCTCCCAAAGTGCTGGGATTACAGGCATGAGTCACCGCACCCAGCCTGAGCCACCATGCCCAGCCTTTTTTTTTTATGTTTGAGACAGTCTCACTCTGTTGCCCAGGCTGGAGTACAATTGCATGATCTCAGCTCACTGCAACCTCTGCCTCCCGGGTTCAAGCAATTCTCCTGCCTCAGCCTCCCGAGTAGCTGGGATTACAGGTGCCTGCCACCATGCCTGGCTAATTTTTTTATTTTTAGTAGCGACAGGGTTTTACCATGTTGTCCAGGCTGGTCTCAAACTCCTGACCTCAGGTAAAGCCTCCCAAAGTGTTGGGATTACAGGGGTGAGCCCAGCCTGAAACTTTTATTCTACCCTTCACTCTGTGTGCTAGAACCAGAAGAGTCATCTTATCAGCCTGTTCCTGGCTAATTGCAGTTAATAAATGCATAATACTAGTCTGAGTGTCCACAGGAACCAGACTGTTTCTTAGTCTCCCTTGAACTTGTGAGGACATGAGCTGAATAATTTGGAGTGACAATTGATCTATGAAAGATTCCCAAATGACAAATTCAGGAAACTCACAAGTGCCATTTGGAGATGGTGGTACCCCCTCCACTCCACTGAGGAAGCTCTTGAATGGCCATCAGAAGTACTTCTGTTGGCCAAATCCAGTAAAAATTTTTCTGTTTATTTATTTTGTTTGTTTGTTTGTTTTTTGTTTTTTTTTGAGATGGAGTCTTGCTCTGTCACCTATGCTGGAGTGCAGTGGTGCGATCATGGCTGATGGCAGCCTCAACCTCCCAGGTTCAAGCCAGCTCCCCACCTCAGCCTCCTGAGTAGCTGGGACCGCAGTTGCAAGTCACCACACTTGGCTAATTTTTTGTAGCCATGGGGTCTCACTCTGTTGACCAAGCTGACCTCAAGTTCCTGGGCTCAAGTATTCCTCCTATCTTGGCCTCCCAAAGTACTGGGATTACAGGCACAAGATATCATGCCCAGCCCAATAAACATTTTTCTTTCTTTTTTTTTTTTTTTTTGAGAAGGATTTTTGCTCTTGTTGCCCAGGCTGAAGCACAATGGCGTGATCTCGGCTCACCGCAACTTCTGCCTCCCAGGTTCAAGCAATTCTCCTGCCTCAGCCTCTCAAGTAGCTGGAATTACAGGTATGTGCCACCACGCCTGGCTAATTTTGTATTTTTAGTAGAAATGGGGTTTCTCCATGTTGGTCAGGCTGGTCTCCAACTCCAGACCTCAGGTGATCCGCCCACCTTGGCCTTCCAAAGTGCTGGGATTAGAGGTGTGAGCCACCGCGCCCGGCAACATTTTTCAATCTTCATCGTACTGGAGGTTAGCAATTCACACATGTGGCCAGTGGCTCCTTATAACACTCTTTTTGGTACCTGTGACACTATACTCTCTTGGATTTTCTGCCACCTGTCTGGCTGTACCTTTTCCATTTTCTTTGTTAACTTGCTGGCTTGTGCAACAATTAAATGTAGTGAGTTCCTCTGATGTCAGTCCCTGGGTCCTCTTCTTTTTTCATTGTATACTTTCTGCTTGGGCAGTCTCACCCCTTCCTATTGGTTTTTTCAGTGATTCACACATTTATACCACCAACCTAGTTTTTTCATATATCATGAGATACATATATCCAACTAGTGTTTAATATCTCCACTTGGAAGTCCTACAGGCATCTGACACCTAAAATGTTAACACTGAAGCCGGTCTTTGATCTTCATTACCCTTCTCGTTGCAACATCCTTCATTATTTCTCAACTCAGCTAATGGCACCACCAACTCCCAGAAGCACAAGACAGTAACCTGGAAGCCATCCTTGATAGCTCTCTCTCCGTCACCTACTGCATCTACACCATGTCTAGTGTCATCGGTTCTATCTCCAACATGTCTCAAATCCATACTTCTCTGCCATCACCTGGTCCAAACTAGCATCTTCTCTGCCCTAACCTATCGCCTATAACCTCCTAACTGGTCTCTCTTCTCTTTTGTCCTTCTTCCATTAATTCTCTTTTTTAAAGGTAATTCAGAGCAAGAATTAACATTCTTCAGTAGCTTTCCATTGCACTAGGGTAGAATCTAGAATCCTTACTCAGGCCTTTGCCTGTCTCTCTAGGATCTTTTCAAGCCGTTCTGTTCCTTCCCTAACTATGCTTCAGCCACACTTCTCCTTCATTTATAGTCAAGCTCTTTCTGACCACAGGACCTTTGCATACACTGTTTCCTTTGCCTGGAATTCTCTTCCCTCCTCTTGCCTTGCTTTGCCATTCTCCTTCCCCATACACTAGTTGCCTGGCTAACTTCTACTTGCCTTCAGGCCTCCATATTCTCCCCTCAGAGAAGCCTTTCTTAACTTTCCAATCTAAAATAGGTCCAGCTGGGTATGGTGGCTCATGCCTGTAAACCCAGCACTTTGGGAGGCTGTGGTGGGAGGATCACTTGAGACCAGGAGTTCCAGATCAGCCTGAGTTACATAGGAAGACCCCATCTCTATAAAAAATAAAATACATCCCTTCTTGTCCTTCTTTCTCATAGCTTTTCATTCATAATGTTTACTACAGTTTGCAATTATAATTGTACATTCATTGATATGTTAATTTGTTCAGTATCTTTTTTCCCCATAGACTGAAAGTTCCCTGGGAGCACAAATCACATGTCTTTTGTGTACTGCAGTATGCCCACCCCCACTTACCAAAGTGCCTGAGACATAGTAGGCCTTTAATAATTGTTGAATGAATAAATTAATGTCCTCCTGATAGGCATACTTGATGGTGAAACTAGACATCAGAGCCTGATGCAAGTAAATATTTAAGTCAGTTATATAGTTTGGCTGTGTCCCCACCCAAATCTCATCTTGAACTGTGGTTCCCATAATCCCTACATGTCGTGGGAAGGACCCAGAAGGAGGTGATTGAATCATGGGGGCAGTGACCCTCATGCTGTTCTTGTGATAGTGAGTGGATTATTTTCCCGGGCTTTGCTCAGCACTTCTTGCTGCCGCCATGTGAAGAAGGACACCTTTGTTTCCCCTTCTGTCATGATTGTAAGTTTCCTGAGGCCTCGCCAGCCATACTGGAACTGAGTTAATTATACTTCTTTCCTTTATAAATTACACAGTCTTGGGTACGTCTTTATTACCAACATGAGAATGGACTAATATAGTCAGCTTGTTTAGACCCCTCTGGCTGGGATTCTAGGCTCACCAACCAGCTTTTTGATAATTTGCCTTTTCTTTTCTTTTCTTTTCTTTTTTTTTTTTTTGAGACAGAGTCTCGCTCTGTCACCAGGCTGGAGTGCAGTGGCATGATCTCAGCTCACTGCAACCTCCGCCTCCCGGGTTCAAGTGATTCTCCTGCCTCAGCCTCCAGAGAAGGTGGGACTACAGGCGCGCACCACCATGCCTAGGGAATTTTTGTATTTTTAGTAGAGACGGGGTTTCACCATGTTGGCCAGAACGGTCTTGATCTCTTGACCTCATAATCTGTCCACCTTGGCCTCCCAAAGGGCTGGGATTACAGGCATGAGCCACCACACTGGCCGATAATTTGCCTTTTCATTTTTAATTTAAATAGCCTCAGGTCCCACAGAGGCTGTAATTGAGCTTTAACACGCAAATTCCTGATATGTTGGCTCTCTTAGAGAGCCACAGGCCTCAGCTCCTGAAGGATCCCCAACTACTTCTCAGGGTCCACTTCTCCACCCAGCCCTCTGCTCCTCTGGAAAGATGTATGTCTCCAGGGTCTCTCCTCTGGCTTTCCCAAATGATAAAGCCCTCAAGGATCCACTTAATGCTCTGTCCCTTTCATCCTCACTATGCTACAGGTTTGTCCTAGGACCGTTTTTGTTCCAAAAACTCAATTCAAGCTAGTTGACCACAAAGAAGACCTGGTTAATTCTCATAACCCTGGATGCGCCAGGGCCAAACCTTAAGGAAAACTGTAATCGAGAACCTCTAAGCTATCCGGCTCCTGCCCTCTGTCTCTCGTCTCAGCTGCTCTCCTCCTGTTGGCTTCATCTTCTCTTTTTTCAGACAACTTCTCTCCATGTTATATTTGGGGATGTAGCTGCTGCAGTTCCAAGGTTTTGTGCCCAAGTCCCACATCCCAGACAGGAAAGAGCCTTCCTCCACAGGTCTATTTAGAAAAATCTGAGGGAAGGTCATTAATTGATCAGTCACATGCCCAGCTTGGGTTACCTCTCAGTCCCGTGTGGCCAAGGGTGTGGACTCACAGGTTTGGAAAGGTGAGGAAGAGTTTCCCGTAGGAAGGGAGGAGGGAGGTGCAGTACCAGCAGAAGAGAAAAGATGTGAGGCAGTGTTAGCAGATGCCCACTACACTATCGTTCATGCAGAAATAATGAGATTGCCTTTATGACTTGAATTGTGTCCCCCAAAAAGATACGTTTAGGCCATGTGTGGTGGCTTACACCTGTAATCCCAGCACTTTGGGAGGCCAAGGCAGGAACATCACTTGAGCCTAGGAGTTCGAGACCAGCCTAGGCAACATGGTGAGACCCCCGTCTCTACAAAAAATTTAAAAATGAGCTGGGTGTGGTGGCAGGAGCCCATGGTCCCAGCTACTCAGGAGGCTAAGGAGGGAGGATCACGCATTCAGAAGGTCGAGACTGCAGTGAGCCATGATTTTACCACTACACTGTAGCCTGGGTAATAGAGTGAGACTCTGTCTCAAAAAAATAATAATAATAAAATAAAACATATGTTAACTTTGCTGCTAATTAGTTTAAGATTCTGAATTTGCAAAGGCAAAGACCAACCTTCCTGGGCCTGTCTGGAGGTGTCTAACAGAAAGCTGGATGACTAGATGATAGCTGTCTCCATGATATCAGCTTGTTCCTTTCCATGGATAAAATGGATTCAGGGGCCGGGCGAGGTGGCTTATGCCTGTAATCCCAGCTACTCGGGAGGCTAAGGTATGAGAATCGCTTGAACCCGGGAGGCAGAGGTTTCAGTGAGCTGAGATGGTACCACTGCACTCCAGCCTGGGAGACGGAGCAAGGCATTGTCTCAAAAATAAAAAAATAAAAAATAAAACAGGCTGGGCACGGTGGCTCACACCTGTAATCCCAGCACTTTGGGAGGCTGAGGCAGGCAGATCGTGAGGTCAGGAGTTCAAGACCAGCCTGGCCAAAATGGCGAAACCCTGTCTCTACTAAAAATACAAAAATTAGCTGGGCGTGGTGGCGGGCGCCCGTAATCCCAGCTACTCGGCAGGCTGAGGCAGGAGAATTGCTTGAACCTGGGAGACAGAGGTTTCGGTAAGCCGAGATCCTGCCACTGCACTCCAGCCTGGCAACAGAGCGAGACTCTGTCTCAAAAAATAAAATAAAATAAAATAAAATGGATTCAGGTGATAACACTCTTTCCTGCCTACGGACCCTGTCCCTCTATCCTAAGAGGTGTCCTCTGATTGAGGATTAGGACTAAACATGGCTGTTTCCCACTTCATCCCTCATGGCTGCTGTAATTTTTATTTTATCTTTATTTTTATCCTACAGAAAGTAAAATACTCCCAATAGATTAACTCTACTATTACGTAGTTGTTTCTTCAAATGCCCAAGAATACTTGTCCTTGGGTATAATTTTTTTGTACCCCTAAGTAGTTATGAGTGTCTGTTTGTGTGCATGGATGCTTTGCTTCAAATGAGTTGCTTTTACAATGTGATAACCTTGTGCCATATGTTGGGCAACTATCTTGGCCATAATTCACAGGCAACTGACACATTAATAGATTCTCTGCCCGTTCTCATTGTGGAGATTCTGTGTTAGTGGCCTTTGTCTTCCATGGAACTGACAGAGGGGCAGGATTAGCTCACTGACGCTCGGAACACAAGTGACGAGGGATTTCATGAAAACAAAGCCAAACAAACGAGGCAGCTTCCACGGGCACCTGGCTGAATAAATTAAACTTGATTGAATCCTCTATTGTAATGACGACAGAAAAGGAGGTAAAATATGCCTTCCCTAATGAGTTTCTTTACAGTCATTTACTATTTAAAACTTGCTATTCCAGGAAAGCAGCAATCGCGTAAGACTGCTTTGACTGGGTCTTGAAGGCTCTGTAAAATCTGTGGGCTCACAGAAGGATTTTGCATACTTCCTGCAAGCATAGTTACTGGACAATGTTGCTTCAAAGCCAAGCTAGCAAGGGAACCCTATACTCTCTTCCTCTTGGCCTGCCCTAGGTTCTGAGTGGTCACATGAAGATGGCCTCAAAGCAGAAGAAACTAAATGTGCCAAGCAGGGAAAAGTCTGAATCGAAGTAACAGTCTAAAAAAGGCTATAAAAATAGGAACAATGTAGGTGCAGCTTTTACATGAAAGAGGAAGAAACAGCACCAAGATTTACTAATAAGCTTGGCACAGAGAAACACTGCTGGCCAGGTGTGGTGGTTCACAGCTGTAATCACAACACTTTGGGAGGTCGAAGCAGGAGGATCATTTGAGGCCAGGAGTTCGAGACCAGCCTGGGCAATATAATGAGACTGGCCCATCACTACTTAAAATGTAAACATTTAGCTGGGGATGGTGGTGTGCTCCTCTAGTCCCAGCTACTGGGGAGGCTGAGGCAGGAGGACCACTTGAACCCCAGAAGTCAAGGCTGCAGTGAGCTAAGATCATGCTACTGCACTCCATCCTGGGTGACAGAGCAAGAACCCTGTCTCTAAGGAAAAAAATAGAAACTGCTGTCATTGAATTTAACATTATCTATGGGTCTTTAGTTTGTCATGAATTGTCATCAGCAGTCAGCATGAGATACCCAAATACAAAAGTACAAAGGAAAAAATACTTTTCACTTTGTAAAACTGAACGCACACAGCATTACAAAAGTGCCCTTTGAGGGCCGGGTGCAGTGGCTCACGCCTGTAATCCCAGCACTTTGGGAGGCCGAGGTGGGCGAACCACGAAGTCAGGAGTTCGAGACCAGCCTGGCGAGGGTGGTGAAACCCCTCTCTACTAAAAATACAAAAATTAGCCGGGCGTGGTGGTGCGCACCTGTAGTCCCAGCTACTCGGGAGGCTGAGGCAGGAGAATCACTTGAACCTGGGAGACGGAGGTTGCTGTGAGCCGAAATCGCACCACTGCACTCCAGCATGGGCAACAGAGCGAGACATCACCTCAACAACAAAAAAAAGAGTGCCCTTTGGAAAGGTGAATGTCTGCATAGTGTGAGTTTAATGGAGTCACATTTGTCTAAATAGAAATTCCTCTCAACCTGTCATTGCACTCTCTTGCCACTGTGAACGTCCACCAATAGTGTCCCATTTGAAATATACAAAGGCAGTAACGTAGGCCCCAGAAAAATAGGGTTAAAATATACTGGGATTAAAATGTTGCCGAGGAGTCAAATGGGTAACTGAGGTTAGCGTTGACCCATTAGTACATGTTAGGCAGAGAATTAGCTATTCACCTTGGTGTAGAATTGATGTTTGATTTCTTTGTGGGATCAGAGGGCCCACCCCTAACAGGAAGTGACCAAGGGTCATGTAGAGTAGAATAAACAAAGCATGTGAAACAGCATGAGAGGCACAGAGAGGCAGCGTGTGTGGTGAGAACACTTACTGAACACATTACAGAAAATTATTATTACTGCCGCTTCCTAAGCTGTAAACTTTTCCAATAAATTAACTAAGTTTTATAAGCCTCAGTGTCCTCATCTGTAAAACTAGGGTCACCATAGCACTGTCTTGAGATTGTTGTGGAAGCTAAATACAAAATATATTACTGAGCTATTTTGCCATTGAAAGTAATGGCAAAATCCACACTTTTGGACCAACCTAAATATATAAACATGAGCATACAAGACCTGGAATGCACTTTAAAATGTGTACTGCCAAAGCTGGGCACAGTGGCACGTGTCTGTAGTCCCATCTGCTTGAAAGGCTGAGGTCGGAGGATCGCAGGAACCCAGGAGTTCTGGGCAGCAGTGAACAGTGACTGCGATTGTGAGTAGCCTTCACTACGGCCGGGCAACGTAACAGGATTCTGCCTCTAAAGAATAATAAACATAAAATTAACTTCCTACCCACTGTCTTTCAGGGCAAGCCATAACTGTGAAGGGAAACAAGTTAAGGAGGACAACTGACTGCCTAAGGAAGGTTCTGGAGTGTGGACAAAGGTGGAGATGGCTACTTCCACTGATTAATAAAAGCCTTCTAGGCCAGGCGCGGTGGCTCATGCCTGTAATCCCAGCACTTTGGGAGGCTGAGGCAGGCGGATCACCTGAGGTCAGGAGTTCAAGACCAGCCTGACCAACATGGAGAAACCCCGTCTCTACTAAAAATACAAAATTAGCCGGGTATGGTGGCACATGCCTGTAATCCCAGCTACTAGAGAGGCTGAGGCAGGAGAATCACTTTAACCTGGGAGGTGGAGGTTGTGGTGAGCTGAGATCACGCCATTGCACTCCAGCCTGGGCAACAAGAGCGAAACTCCGTCTCAAAAAATAAATAAATAAAATAAAATAAATAAAATAAAATAAAAGCCTTCTTCATGTCACTATTATAAACAGTACAAACCCTCAGCTGCTACTTTTGGCAAACTTTTTTTTTTTTTTTTTCCTGAGATGGAGTCTCCCTCCGTCACCCAGGACTGAGACTGGCCCAATCTTGCCTCACTACAACCTCCATCTTCCAGGTTCAAGTGATTATCCTACCTCAGCCTCCCGAGTAGCTGGGATTACAGGTGCACGCCACCACACCCAGCTAATTTTTGTATTTTTAGTAGAGACAGGGTTTTGCCATGTTGGCCAAGCTGGTCTTGAACTCCTGATCTCAGGTGATCTGCCCACCTCGGCCTCCCAAAGTGCTGGGATTACAGGCGTGAACCACCATGCCCGGCCTTGGCAAACTTTTGTAAAGGGTCAGATAGTAAATATTTTAAGCTTTGCAGTAAATATTTTTACTCACTATTGCAACTACTCATGCCAGACATTGTAGCAAAATAAAAAGCATTTCATAGGCAATATATAATATATAATGCATGAGCATGGCAGTGCTCCAAAAAAACTTTTTTTTTTGGAGACAGGGTCTTGCTCTGTCTCCCAGGCTGGAGTGCAGTTGTGAGACCATGGCCCACTGCAGTCTTGACCTCCTGGGCTCAAGCAATTCTCCTGCCTCAGGTCCCAGAATAGCTGGGACTACAGGCTGCGCCAGCACACCCCACTAAATTTTGTATTTTTAGTAGAGACAGGGTTCAGCCATGTTGCCCAGGCTGGTCTGGAGCTCCTGGGTTCAAGCAACCCACCCATCTCAGCCTCTCAAAGTGCTGGGATTATAGTCGTGAACCACTACGCCCGGCCATTTTTTTTTTCTTTTCAGATAGGATCTTGCTCTGTTTCTCCTGCTGGAATGCAGTGGCACAATCATGGCTCACTGTAGCCTCGACATCCCAGACTCAAGTAATTCACTTCAGCTTCCAGAGTAGGTGGGACAACAGGCGTGCCCACTGAGCCTGGCTAATTTTATTTTTGTAGAGATGGGGTCTCACTATGTTGCCAAGGCAGGACTTGAACTCCTGGGCTCAAGTAATTCTCCTGCCTGGGACTCCTGAAGTGCTGGGATTACAGGTGTGAGCCACTGCACCCTGCCTCCAATAAAACTTAATAAATACTAACAGTTACTTCCCCAAGCATTGAAAACTCTTCTACAACATGAGTTTTAATGATGGCATAACAGTCCATATAGATTTTCATGATTTATTTAACAAAGTCTTTAATGTTGGACATTTAGTTTCTCTTTATTTGCTTACCTCAATCGGTACTCATAATTATTTTGTAACAATTTCTTTTTTTTAGACGGAATCTCGCTCTGTCACCCAGGCTGGAGTGCATTGGCGAGATCTCAGCTCACTGGAACCTCTGCCTCCCGGGTACAAGCGATTCTCCTGCCTCAGCCTCCTGAACAGCTGGGACTACAGGTGCCCGCCACCACGCCCAGCTAATTTTTGTATTTTTAGTAGAGATGGGGTTTCACCATATTGGTCAGGCTGGTCTTGAACTCCTGACCTTGTGATCTGCCCGCCTCGGCCACCCAAAGTGCTGGGATTACAGGGGTGAGCCACCATGCCCAGCCTATAGAAATTATTTTTAAAGTCGGGATGAGAAAAAAAAAAAAAAGAAAAAAGAAAGTGGGGATAAGAAAAAGAAAAATTGCTCATAGACCATTTATTCAGAGATTATAACTGCCCTCCTCATTATTATATATGCTTTTCAGGCTTATGATTACCTTTATTATTTATTTATTTATTTATATTTTTTAGACAGAGTCTTGCTCTGTCATCACCCATGCTGGAGTGCAGTGGTGCGATCTCAGCTCACTGCAACCTCCACCTCCCAGGTTCAAGTGATTCTCCTGCCTCCGCCTCCCGAGTAGCTCACATTATAGGCACGTGCCACAATACCTAGCTAATTTTTGGTTTTGTGTGTGTGTGTGTGTGTGTGTTTGTTTTTGTTTTTTTTTTTTTTTGACGGAGTCTCGCTCTGTCGCCCAGGCTGTAGTGCAGTGGCATGATCTTGGCTCACTACAACCTCCACCTCTGGGGTTCAAGCAATTCTCCTGCCTCAGCCTCCTGAGTAGCTGGGATTATAGGCATGTGTCACCATGCATGGCTAATTTTTGTATTTTTAGTAGAGATGGGGTTTGACCATGTTGGTCAGGCTGGTCTCAAACTCCTGACCTCGTGATCGCCCACCTCGGCCTCCCAAAGTGCTGGGATTACAGGCATGAGCCACCACGCCCGGCCTAATTTTTGTATTTTTAATAGAGACAGGCTTTGCCATGTTGGCCAGGCTGTATTATCACCTTTAAATAAAGCTGGGGTTACACTGTACATCCTATATTGTAACCTGAATTTTCACTTCACCACAGTAATGAAGGTCTTCTCCCCTTCTGAGGTCCTAAACTTAGAATTGCTGGTCTCTGACTTCCATTATTCTAGTTTTACTTCTGTCTTCCCACTGTCTCACATCTACTCCCATAAGGGAGACCACACTGACCATCTGCTCCTCTTGGCATTATATTTCTTACTATAAAACTACACATTGGCACCTGGCTTGCACATCTGTCTCTTAGGAGTTTGGTTACTGTTAGCTCTGTGAGCCTGAGTGATCACCTCAACTATCCTAGCAAAATAGGAGAGTTGGGGCCCTCCAAAGCTGAGAATTTGGGCATTATGACCTAAATAAAGCAACACAATACTGTCTGAGCAACTAGTCAAACCCAACCAGCCTCCTTCTCTGACAACTTTATTTTGCTTTCTTTAAGTGCCATACCAATTATTATAAGTGATGACTAGTATTTATCATTTTAAATGGCAAACAACCCTAAATGGCTTGGTGGAGGGCAAGTTCAGACATTGTCCTGGAGACTGGCTGAGAGTAGAAGCCCCTCTGCAGTGTTCTTTGAAGTGCTGATTTTAGTTATATAAAATGCTAAATTGCCTCTCCCACTGTCAGAATAGCCTTTTATTTATTTATTTATTTATTTATTTATTTTTGAGACGGAGACTCGCTCTGTCCCCCAGGCTGGAGTGCAGTGGCACCATCTTGGCTCACAGCAAGCTCCGCTTCCCAAGTTCACACCATTCTCCTGCCTCAGCCTCCCAAGTAGCTGGGACTACAGGCGCCCGTCACCACGCCTGGCTAATTTTTTTTTTTTTTTTTGTATTTTTAGTAGAGACAGGGTTTCACCATGTTAGCCAGGATGGTCTTGATCTCCTGACCTCGTGATCCGCCCGCCTCAGCCTCCCAAAGTGCTGGGATTACAGGCGTGAGCCACTGTGCCCAGCCCAAAATAGCCTTTTATACCTCTTCCTGTTTATGTTATCAAGAAGTTAGTATGTAGACTTCAGAACTCAATTTTGATCTGCTCTTGATTAAACCTTGGTTTACAGAACTACGGTAGTTTTTCACATTGTAGAGAAAAAGTTGAACTATTTTAATAATGGATTTTCTGTGTGTATAG